>NC_000003.12:167038907-167190422 GCF_000001405.40 Homo sapiens
TCACATTACTTCCCTACATGTAATTTTTCTCAACTCTGCAGTAATTGTAGTCACTTGCCCTATTTCATAACAAAGCACAATGTTCTTGAAAGATCTGCGTTCTTTATTAACAGGATGTTATGAGAAAACATCCCCTAAGTTGGAATGTACTTTATGAAGACAATCGTCATACTGACTTTCAATAATTTTAGTTTCATCCTTCTCATAATAAGTTTCTCTACACATTTAAAAGCAAGTATCAGCGATATTGAGTCAATTAGTTTCCCAAGTTCTATTATGTGATTGCAATGTAGGCAGTGCAAAAAGCTAGGTAGACAATATGTTATAAAACAAAGCAAAAAAGGAGAGAGAGAGGTTCACACTGGTAAAGATTGGTGTTTCCAAATTCTAAAAGAAAAATGACTAGTCTCTGCAAACATTTATTTTTTCTAGCAGACATACTTTAGCCATGAAATCTCAAGTCTATGTTTAACTATAAAGCTTTTTTTTATATACATCAAGTTCAAAGACAACAATCTGTGCCTGGGACTGCAGATTTGAAAACATTCCAATATGATATTAAATGATAATGATCAAATCCTAAGAGCATACTCAACCTAAATAACTAGTTGAATTACATGTGGTTGCCTTTTTAAAATATGATATGCGGCATACTTTTTATACCTGGTCCTCCACCCAACTACCTCATTGTATCTAGCTATCTGAAATAAAATATTTAAGTCTTTATGTCTACCTACCTAATAATGAAAGGTAATTCCCTTGGTACTTTGCATGTTAATTCTGATAAACTCCAAATAGAATTATACAAAATTCAAATTAAATACATTTAAATTAAAGAATAGACACTTTAACCTTTTAAAAAATTTAGGAGCCCCGGAATGTTATCTGGAATATTCATGTTATAACAGAAATATAACAGGATTATTTCCCTATATGGAGGCTAAATTTTCTGGGAGCACAGCTTTTAATCAAGCTTACTGTATTCATACAAAGAGATTTCTGAGAGAGAAAGGAGGCAGCATTTTTATTACTAAAATAAATGACTTTTTCCTAGTTATAAAATTGATTAATGGAATTTTATTTGAGCAACCTAGCCATTATTAAAGAATATAAGTATTCAATCTCAATGTTGGTTGTACAACATTGTGAACGTATTCATTGTCACTACATTGTTCACTATAAAATGGTTAATTTTATGTTACGTGAATTTAATTTCAATTTTTAAAAGTGAATAAATGTTATGTTTAATTTTGAAAAATGAGAACTTTACATAGACATATTATATTATTGTTGAGTTAAAAGAAAGTTTCAGGGCTGTGTATCTCATATATACCTTCTGTGTATAGACAACCGTAAACCTTCACACACTTGAGTCTTCCTTAGTGACAGAGTTTGTTTCAACTTTTGGTGTGCAGAGTTAAGAGGATCCCTTCCTCAGCCCAGTAGAGAGACACGATTGATATATTTAAATTATAGACATTCTCATTCTCCTTAATAATGATTGAGAAGCAAGTCTGTTTGTAGGTTTCTAGAAAAGCTTTTCCTCCCTAGTAAAAAGAGACACATAAAAAGAAAAGCCTTTCTCTTCCTTGCTGGATTCTGTGATATCTGTTTGTGGCACTTGGAACAGTTTTAATCATTCTGCGGCCATGAAGGGAGACGTTGTACCATGCTAAAGAAAGCATAGTGTTAAAGGCAATATTGTGCCACTCTCTTAACTTCCAATCTACTGGAAAATGCTAAATCTAGATTTTTCTTATGTGAATTAGTAAATTTTTCTCAATGTCAGACACTTTAATTTGGATATTTTAATACTTGTAGCTGAAAACCTCCTCCTGTTCAATACAGTGTGATTCTAATTTCCCTTTTTTTTTGCATATGGGAAAATCATGGTATGAAAACTATCTGATTAAACATTACATAGTTTTATATGTATATAAAAATACCTATCTCGGTCAACGGGTATTTCTGGTTCTAGATCCTTGAGGAATCGCTGCACTGTCTTCCACAATGGTTGAACTAATTTACACTCCCATCAACAGTGTAAAAGCATTTCTATTTCTCCACATCTTCTCCAGCATCTGTTGGTTCCTGACGTTTTAATGATCACCATTCTAACTGGTGTTAGGTGGTATCTCATTGTGCTTTTGATTTGCATTTCTCTAATGACCAGTGATGATGAGCTTTTTTTCATATGTTTGTTGGCCACATAAATGTCTTCTTTTGAGAAGTGTCTGTTCATATCCTTCACCCACCTTTTGATGGGGTTGTATTTTTTTCTTGTAAATTTGTTTAAGTTCCTTGTAGATTCTGGATATTAGCCCTTTGTCCGATGGATAGACTGCAGAAATTTTCTCCCTTTCTGTAGGTTGTCTGTTCATTCTGATGATAGTTTCTTTTGCTGTGCAAAAGCTTTTTAGTTTAATTAGATCTAATTTGTCAATTTTAGCTTTTGTTGCCATTACTTTTGGTGTTTTAGTCATGACGTCTTTGCCCATGCCTATGTCCTGAATGGTATTGCCTACATTTTCTGCTGGGGTTTTTATGGTTTTAGGTCTTACGTGTAAGTATTTAATCCATCTTGAGTTATATACCCAAAGGATGATAAATCATTCTACTATAAAGACACATGCACACTTATGTTTATTGCAGCACTGCTCACAATAGCAAAGACTTAGAACCAACCCAAATGCCCATGAATGACAGACTGGATAAAGAAAATGTGGCACATATACACCATGGAATTCTGTGCAGCCGTAAAAAAGGATGAGTCCATGTCCTTTGCAGGAACGTGGATGAAGCTGGAAACCATCATTCTCAGCAAACTAACACAGGAACAGAAAACTAAACACCACATGTTCTCACTCATAAGTGGGAGTTGAACAATGAGAACACATGGACACAGGGAGGGGAACATCACGCACGGGGGCCTCTTGGGAGGTTGAGGGCTATGGGAGGGATAGCATTAGGAGAAATACCTAATGCAGATGACGGGTTGATGGATGAAGCAAACCACCATGGCACATGTATACCTATGTAACAAACCTACACATTCTGCACATGTATCCCAGAACTTAAAATTACATAAAAAAAAATGTTTTCCTGATAATTTAAAACAAATTTGTGGTGGCTTCTGAATTGCAGAGCATTCCAGAATAACCACAGCCAGTAATGAAAGGGATACTTCTGCTGCATACACTTTAAATTTTGTATTTGTACATGAATTATGTATGCTAAAAAAGAAATAATTATTAAATAATTACATAAAGCAAATATATATATATATGGAGATATGCTAAAAATTTCTTAAAGATTACACACATCATTTGGTAATGACACATTCTAATGAATGAGAAGGTATGAGGAAAAGGACATCACTTATTAATTCATAGAATTCTTGTTTGAATTTGTTTTACAGTAAATGTATGTTACTTATTTGGATTTAATAATAGATGTGACATGGTTTCACTGTGTCCCCACCCAAATCTCATCTTTAATTGTAGCTTCCGTAATTCCCATATGTCATGGGAGGGGCCTGATAGGAGGTAATTGAATCATGGGGGCATGTCTTTCCCATGACGTTTTTGTGATAGCGAATAAGTTTCATAAGATATGATGGTTTTCTAAAGGGCAGTTCCCCCACACAAGCTCTCTCTTTGCCTGCCACCATGTAAGATGTGACTTTGCTCTTCCTTTGCCTTTGCCATGATTGTGAGGCCTCCCCATCCCTGTGGAACTGTGAGTCAATTAAACCTCTTTCTTTTATAAGTTACCCAGTCTTGGGTATGCCTTTATTAGCAGTGTGAGAATGAACTAATACAGGATGCAAAAAGAAAAAGTATATATTAACTACCATTCATAATAGGGGAAAATGGCATACTCATGTTTTGGGGGATAAATATATATGTTTATTAGAATTTTTACATTTTTTCAAAAATTTTGTTCGCCTTCTGTACTAATTAAGACTTTCTGGATTGCAAATAAGTATATCTTTCTCAAAGTTACCAATCCAAGATGGGTAGGATTAGAGCTTACTTTGTAAAATACTAAAACCAGGAACAAATAGAGTCAGCCCTCTTTGTTTTCTTATCTCATCATGTTGCTTCTCTGCTGATACTGGCCCATCCCCATGGAAAGGGTAACTGGCAATTCTGACCAACTCCAATACCAATTTGAAAATGTCTTGTAAGCTTGGGTGATGTGACCATCACTTTGACCAATCTCGGTGACAGGGAGTAAGGCAAAATTACTGCCCTAAATTATATTTTGGGCCTTCTTATATCTAAGACACTTTCAACAGACGTGGCTCTCTGGATTATCACTGTGAGGAGAAGACCGCTTATACATCATCTGCCATAGGGAGTGGGAGTTCTCTGGCACTTCCCCATACCTACCATGGGCCAGGGAGTGTGAGAGTAATTTTCCTGTATTCATTGGTTAATCGTCCTGATAAACTTCCCATTTTAGTTATTATGAATGCCAAAATCAAGGACTTAGGATTTAAAATAATTTGTCAAAATCACAAATATAAGAGACAAAGCCAGGATTTGAACAAAGTCTATATTTCACTATAGTCTGGGATATCTTCGGCAAGCCACTCAAACCACTCAGAATAAGAATTGGCTTTTAACTCTATGTTGAATAGGAGTGGTGAGAGAGGTCATCCCTATCTTGTGCCAGTTTTCAAAGGGAATGCTTCCAGTTTTTGCCCATTCAGTATGATATTGGCTGTGGGTTTGTCATAGATAGCTCTTATTATTTTGAAATACGTCCCATCAATACCTAATTTATTGAGAGTTTTTAGCATGAAGGTTGTTGAATTTTGTCAAAGGCCTTTTCTGCATCTATTGAGATAATCATGTGGTTTCTGTCTTTGGTTCTGTTTATATGCTGGATTACATTTATTGATTTGTGTATATTGAACCAGCCTTGCATCCCAGGGATGAAGCCCACTTGATCATGGTGGATAAGCTTTTTGATGTGCTGCTGGATTTGGTTTGCCAGTATTTTATTGAGGATTTTTGCATCAATGTTATCAAGGATATTGGTCTAAAATTCTCTTTTTTGGTACTGTCTCTGCCCAGCTTTGCTATCAGGATGATGCTGGCCTCATAAAATGAGTTAGGTAGGATTCCCTCTTTTTCTATTGATTGCAATAGTTTCAGAAGGAATGGTACCAGTTCCTCCTTGTACCTCCGGAAGAATTCGGCTGTGAATCCATCTGGTCCTGGACTTTTTTTGGTTGGTAAGCTATTGACTATTGCCACAATTTCAGCTCCTGTTATTGGTCTATTCAGAGATTCAACTTCTTCCTGGTTTAGTCTTGGGAGAGTGTATGTGTTGAGGAATTTATCCATTTCTTCTAGATTTTCTAGTTTATTTGCGTAGAGGTGTTTGTAGTATTCTCTGATGGTAGTTTGTATTTCTGTGGGATCGGTGGTGATATACCCTTTATCATTTTTTATTGCGTTTATTTGGTTCTTCTCTCTTTTTTTCTTTATTAGTCTTGCTAGCGGTCTATCTATTTTGTTGATCCTTTCAAAAAACCAGCTCCTGGATTCATTAATTTTTTGAAGGGTTTTTTGTGTCTCTATTTCCTTCATTTCTGCTCTGATTTTAGTTATTTCTTGCCTTCTGCTAGCTTTTGAATGTGTTTGTTCTTGCTTTTCTAGTTCTTTTAATTGTGATGTTAGGGTGTCAATTTTGGGTCTTTCCTGCTTTCTCTTGTGGGCATTTAGTGCTATAAATTTCCCTCTACACACTGCTTTGAATGTGTCCCAGAGATTCTGGTATGTTGTGTCTTTGTTCTTGTTGGTTTCAAAGAACATCTTTATTTCTGCCTTCATTTCGTTATGTACCCAGTAGTCATTCAGGAGCATAGTGTTGGAAGTTCTGGCCAGGGCAATTAGGCAGGAGAAGGAAATAAAGGGTATTCAATTAGGAAAAGAGGAAGTCAAATTGTCTCTGTTTGCAGATGACATGATTGTATATCCAGAAAACCCCATTGTCTCAGCCCAAAATCTCCTTAAGCTGATAATCAACTTCAGCAAAGTCTCAGGATACAAAATCAATGTACAAAAATCACAAGCATTCTTATACACCAATAACAGACAAACAGAGAGCCAAATCATGAGTGAACTCCCATTCACAATTGCTTCAAAGAGAATAAAATACCTAGGAATCCAGCTTACAAGGGACTTGAAGGACCTCTTCAGGGAGAACTACAAACCACTGCTCAATGAAATAAAAGAGGATACAAACAAATGGAAGAGCATTCCATGCTCATGGGTAGGAAGAATCAATATCGTGAAGATGGCCATACTGCCCAAGGTTATTTATAGATTCAATGCCATCCCCATCAAGCTACCAATGACTTTCTTCACAGAATTGGAAAAAACTACTTTAAAGTTCATATGGAACCAAAAAAGAGCCCGCATCGCCAACTCAATCCTAAGCCAAAAGAACAAAGCTGGAGGCATCACGCTACCTGACTTCAAACTATACTACAAGGCTACAGTAACCAAAACAGCATGGTACTGGTACCAAAACAGAGATATAGATCAATGGAACAGAACAGAGCCCTCAGAAGTAACGCCGTATATCTACAACTATCTGATCTTTGACAAACCTGAGAAAAACAAGCAATGGGGAAAGGATTCCCTATTTAATAAATGGTGCTGGGAAAACTGGCTAGCCATATGTAGAAAGCTGAAACTGGAACACTTCCTTACACCTTATACAAAAATTAATTCAAGATGGAGTAAAGACTTAAATGTTAGACCTAAAACCATAAAAACCCTAGAAGAAAACCTAGGCATTACCATTCAGGACATAGGCATGGGCAAGGACTTCATGTCTAAAACACCAAAAGCAATGGCAACAACAGCCAAAATTGACAAATGGCATCTAATTAAAGTAAAGAGCTTCTGCACAGCAAAATAAACTACCATCAGAGTGAACAGGCAACCCACAAAATGGGAGAAAGTTTTTGCAACCTACTCATCTGACAAAGGGCATATATCCAGAATCTACAATGAACTCAAACAAGTTTATAAGAAAAAAACAAACAACCCCATCAAAAAGTGGGCGAAGGACATGAACAGACACTTCTCAAAAGAAGACATTTATGCAGCCAAAAAACACATGAAAAAATGCTCACCATCACTGGCCATCAGAGAAATGCAAATCAAAACCACAATGAGATATCATCGCACACCAGTTAGAATGGCAATCATTAAAAAGTCAGGAAACAACAGGTGCTGGAGAGGATGTGGAGAAATAGGAACACTTTTACACTGTTGGTGGGACTGTAAACTAGTTCAACCATTGTGGAAGTCAGTGTGGCGATTCCTCAGGGATCTAGAACTAGAAATACCATTTGACCCAGCCATCCCATTACTGGGTATATACCCAAAGGATTATAAATCATGCTGCTGTAAAGACACATGCACACATATGTTTATTGCGGCACTATTCACAATAGCAAAGACTTGGAACCAACCCAAATGTCCAACAATGATTGACTGGATGAAGAAAATGTGGCACATATACAGCATGGAATACTATGCAGCCATAAAAAATGATGAGTCCATGTCCTTTGTAGGGACATGGATGAAATTGGAAATCATCATTCTCAGTAAACTATCGCAAGAACAAAAAACCAAACACCGCATATGCTCACTCATAGGTGGGAATTGAACAATGAGAACACATGGACACAGGAAGGGAAACATCACACTCTGGGGACTGTTGTGGGGTGGAGGGGGGAGGGATAGCATTGGGAGATATACCTAATGCTAGATGACAAGTTAGTGGGTGCAGCACACCAGCATGGCACATGTATACATGTGTAACTAACCTGCACATTGTGCACATGTACCCTAAAACTTAAAGTATAATAAAAAAAAGAATTGGCTTTTAAAAAATGTTAATCACATACAGTTTATTATAATTGTCTTTCTGCATTAAATGACAGAAGTTGTATGTATACAAATACAGAGTTTTTCATGAGAACTGGAATAGCAGCTACACTGGCTGCACTTAGGGATAGCTCAATGAAGAAATTCTCTGGCCCTCACAGGGTTTTCCAGTGGATATCTTTGGGAGAAATATGTGTTCATTCTGATCTGAAATGTCTAGAAAATCAGATATGTTTCATTTTTAATTATAGGGCATTGTCATCTTTAGTTGCACATTAATGTCCCTTGTTACACCAAAAAAATTCGATTAGTTATATATAAGAAGTGATGTGTTATAAAATTTTATATTAGAAAATGATAGTGATTTGGGGTAAAATAATTACATTTCTCATTTTGAATAGCATATTCTAATTTTAGCAGATAATTCCAGTTACCTGAGTAGCAATTAAAAATACTGATCTGTTAGCACTAGTCCTAGTTTTTCAGATAAAATATATAGGAATGATTAGTGGTGATGGGGTTGAATGTGTTTTCTTAAAATATCCTTTTGGGTCACTCTGATAATCTGGGGAGACTGGAAGCACTCTTATAGACTATCTGTGTTCACTGTGGCAAATAATTTTTTAGAATCATTGCAGGGGTAATTTAGAATCAAAGAAACACTCTGTTCCTGTATACAAAATCACATTTGGTGAGACTGACATTTCTAGATCTCTGCCAACTATAATATTGTAAGAATGGATTATACCTAAAACCATTATCAGATAGGATTTGTCAACTGTGCCATCCCTGACCACTTATAACAATTAGGACTTTAAGAAATTCATTTAGACTTTTTAATATTTCATGTTTCTTATTTGTAAAACAGGCAGTAATAATAACTACAAAATAAAAGACACTTGTGAGAATTTTAAGTGTGAAACAATGTAAATATAAGATATCATATATCCTTAAACAATTTCCCTTGTGAATTACCCTGCTATCATTCAAAACACAGAGTCTACCTCCTTTTCAGAGGTTTTCTGAAGCTGTCTGGTTAGAACAAACCTGCCTCTTCTCTATGTACCTATACTACATGGCTAATTTCTCTACTCTAGAATTTCATATTCTATTTTATGTCATAGTTATTTGTGTATATTCAGTCAGCCCTATTAGATTTTAAGCATCTTGAGAATAAAAACTTTTTCCTTATCATCATAGTGATTCTTTGGTGTCCATCATCAAGGGGTCCCGGACAGGGCCTTAGATACAGTAGGTCCTCTACACATACTTATTAAACTGCATTGATAAAGGTCTCAGAACACTGGACTGCATGAAGTGACTATTTGTCTATTGTTTATTACTATTTTATCCGAGAATATCAGCAGTATTTCTTTGCTCCTTTGCCTAATGGAAGGAACAATGTCTTTGAAATGAAAACTAAAATGTTCTGAATCCATTCCTTTCTCTATGTCAGACCCTTATATAAGAGTCTAAGAAAAAAAATCTAATACAAGATAAATATTCAGAAGGTTCTTGCAAGACTGCTTTTATTACCCTCTATGCTTTTATTACCCTCTATGCTTTTATTACCCATATGCAGTATGTAATATTCTTGAAGCAAATATTAAAATTATTTAACATGATTAAGAGATAATTCTAAACTGATAGCTTCTATGCACTCATTCCTCTTAACTTGTGATATTTCCTAAATGCTCCAAATGTATGATCTAGAAGCAACAGAAATCCTTTAATATTCATTATTATAACATTTTGTCAAAATTTGTATTTTAAATTATGGATAGGTTTGTTATTGCTTCTCACTAAAATGTTTCCTTTTCTGACTATTAAAATAGCTGTCATTTAAAATTTGAAGTTCTATGGCATCAGGGACTTTCACAAAAATATGTTTTTATATCTTTTGCCTGTTCGATTTTATTTATTGAATATTTTCTTCATAGCTATACCGGCAACATATGATCACACAAAAATTCAAAAGCTCCTTTTAAATAACCAGAAAGAGTTACAAATAACCTGGAACATAGCAGCTATCAAGTCAAAATGGAAAATCACAGCAAATTTAAGTTACAGAGCTTCAACATGGGACCTGCTCCATGAGCAGTTTGAGTAAAACCTAAAGACTCAAATGAATACTTCAGTCACGATCATTATCAAATCAATACTCTATTGCAACAAAGATATTGTATGTGTAATGGACATGTCTCATTCGGCTTCCTGGTTTGCATGTAAATGATCAAAATGGCACATGCACTAGCTGCTACAAACAAATGGCTTTTTAAGGATGGGATGCAGAAACAAAGAAAGACAACATTGAAACACTGAAAGTTCATTCAGCAATAGAGAAGCCAGGAAAAAAAAATCAATAATGAGGAAGACATGGGAATCTAAGAATCAGGAACCCAACACAAAAGAGAGATAAAGAGAATCACTGAAAATGCAAAAGGAAGACCCAGAATGACAGTTTGGTTACAGGCTAGAGAGTGTTAGGCCACATAAATAGTTTCTGAGGTATTGGCAGGAAAAAGGAAAGATGAAATGATAAGTTATCAGACAGGTTTGACTTTCCAGAAAACTATAAAAAGACTGGTGTCAATCAAATGAAATAAAAGGGCAAATTAATTACAGAAAAAAAATCCACAAAGGCCTTCAAGATAGGAAACAAACTCACAGAACACCGCTTGATTCTGCAATTTAAAAAAATTACATATTTTTGATGGTGAAAACTTATCAACATGGAATTAACCAAAAACGAGTTACAACTATATTTCAAAGATAGAAGGAGGAGACATATTTGGATGTGCTGGATGACAAAAGAGAGCTAAATTCTAAATTCTAATTTCTAAATAGTAGAAATGAGATGAACATATCTAAAACTAAAATATTAAGAAATAGTACAATCATTTCTTAAATGAATACTGTAAATAAAGAATAACCACAAGAATTGTTCGAGACCAACCTGGGCAACAAAGTGGGACTCCGTCTCTACCAAAAAAAATTGTTTAATTAGCCAGGTATGGTGGAATGCACCTGTAGCCACTAGGGAGGATGAGAATGGAGGGTTGCTTCAGCCCGGGAGTTTGAGGCTGCAGTGAGCTAACATGGCTCCTCTAGTTGCTGAATGACCTTTCAACGTTTCAGTGTTCTCTTTCTTGGTTTCTGCATACCATCCATTTTTTTAGTTTTCTAATTTTTATTTTACTTTAAGTACTGGGATACAGGTACAGAACGTGCAGGTTTCTTACACAAGTATACATTGCGGCACCTATTAACCCATCATCTAGGTTTTAAGCCTGGCATTCTTTAGGTATTTGTCCTAATGCTCTCCCCGCCCTTGCTGCCCACCACCCAACAGGTCCCAGTGTGTGATGTTCCCCTCCGTGTCCATGTGTTCTCATTGTTCAACTCCCACTTATGAGTGAGAACACGCAGTGTTTGGTTTTCTGTTCCTGTCTTAGTTTGCTGAGGAAGATGCTTTCCAGCTTCATCCATGTCCCTGCAAAGAACATGAACTCATTATTTGTTATGGATGCATAGTATTCCATGGTGTATATGTGCCACATTTTCTTTATCCAGTCTATCATTGATGGGCATTTGGGTTGGTTCCAAGTCTTTGCTGTTGTGAACAGTGCTGCAATAAACATATGTATGCATGTGTCTTCATAGTAGAATGATTTATAATCATTTGGGTATATACTCAGTAATGGGATTGCTAGGTCAAATGGTACTTCTGGTTCTAGATCCTTGAGGAATCACCACACTGTCTTCCACAATGGTTGAACTAATTTACATTCTCATCAACAGTGTAAAAGCATTGCTATTTCTCTGCTTTGTCTCCAACATCTGTTGTTTCCTGACTTTTTAATGATCGCCATTCTAAGTGGTGTGAGATTGTATGTCATTGTGGTTTTGATATTCATTTCTCTAATGACCAGTGATGATGAGCTTTTTTTCATATGTTTGTTGGCTGCATAAATGTATTCTTTTGAGAAATGTCTGTTCATATCCTTTGCCCACCTTTTGATGGTGTTGTTTGATTTTTTCTTGTAAATTTGTTTAAGTTCCTTGCAGGTTCTGGATATTAGCCCTTTGTCAGATGGATAGATTGCAAAAATTTTCTCCCATTCTGTAGGTTGCCTATTTACTCTGATGATAGTTTCTTTTGCTAAGCAGAAGTTCTTTAGTTTAATTAGGTCCCATTTGTCAATTCTGGCTTTTGTTGCAATTGCTTTTGGTGTTTTAGACATGAAGTCTTTGCCAATGCCTATGTCCTGAATGGTACTGCCTAGGTTTTCTTCTGGGGTTTTTATAGTTTTAGGTTTTATGTTTAAGTCTTTAATCCATCTTGAGTTAATTTTTGTATAAAGTATAAGGAAGCATCCCATCCTTAAGAAGCCATTTGTTTGTAACTACTAGTGCATGTGCTACTTTGATCATTTGCAAGCAAATCAGAAAGCAGAATGAGGCATGTCCATTACACATACAATATCTTTCTTACAATAGAGCATTAATTTAATAATGATAGTTTGATATTTGATAATGATAAGCTAAGGGCCAGGCCCCATCTCAAAAACAACAATAACAACAACAACAAAAAAAAACGGTGTCAATAGAAATTAGGCTTCTTGGCAACCACCATTTTCAGTATATGAACAATGAAAACTATTTCCTTTTTAGTTCTCTGAATGTGTTAAACCAGGGGTCCCCAACCCCCAGGGCTGGAGACCAGTACCAGTTAGTGGCCTGTTAGAAACCTGGCTTCACAGCAGGAGGTGAGCGGCTGGCTGGAGCATTATCTGAGCAGCATTATCCTGAGCTCAGCTTCCTGTCAGATACAGGAGCGCAGGAACCCTGTTGTGAACTGTGCTTGTGAGGGATGTAGGTTGTACTGGCCTTATGAGAATCTAACTAACGACTATGATCTGAGGTAAAACAGTATCAAGTTTCATCCTTAAGCCATTCCCCCTACCCCACCCCCATCCCAGGAGAAAAAATGTTTTCCAGGAAACCGGACCCTGGTGCCAAAAAGGTTGGGGACCACTGTGTTAAACAATAAAACTGAAATATTTTTAAAAATTGATTTGTGGAGGCTTTCATATTAAAGAAGTTTCAAACTACCCAAGGTAAGACACCTTCAAAAGACAGCCTGTGTGTGTGAAAGAGAGGCAATATTTATTAAAATAACCACACACATCTGACACATTCAACTTATATGTGTGGATATCAGCCCTCTTGAGTTCATGGTGAACGCATTCTACTCCTATGAATATACCACCAAACCCACCAACAATACACCAAACAGGTAGCTGTTTGGGCCACCAGCATCTGTGAATGTGGAGAACCTCTATAAAAGGAATCATCAGAGTTAGGCACAATGGAGAGGGAAATCAGTCCTCAAAGTCATCACTTTTAGACTTTTAGACAATTGAATGAGGGCAATTCTCTATATTCTTCAGATAAGTTATATATTATTGTTCCCATTTTCCAGATGTCTAGGTGAAGCTGAGAGAGCCTAATTAATTGCCTAAAGTCACATAAGAAGTTCAGCTGAGGTCTGGTACCAAGTGTCTCATTTTTTCCCTAAACCAAGCAGTTATCTTCCTGTGACACAGGAAGACCATTTACCATGACTGGGACCTCTGGTGCTGAGCTGCTGGCAGGAGAGCTAAAATCCCGCATATTGGGAGAGCTTTACAAAAGGCATTTTCCCCCTCACATTAACTTTAGAAATGTGATAAGGGAAGCATTAGTATCTATATCTAAAAGAGCAAGGTGAAAAGATCAGCTCAAGTTCTTGCTGCTGGTTTGACACTGAGTCAAAATGAGCATAGGTATCCTGCACTAGGGCTGCTTATGTTGGAGAAATCACATCCAATGGGAGGAAAGGACCCATCATCCCTGAAGTAGCCCAAACATAACTTCCCCAGATGGAGCAGTGGTTTGGAAGCATTCCTGCTGTTTTTAATTATTAGATTTGAAAAGCACATTTGTCCCAAATTTGCTATTAACTTTTAATTTAAGCATTTTATCTTTTTCCCCTTACAATGAAGGTCAAATTCAAACTCCACAAAGGTGAATTAAGCACTTCTTGTTTCTTAGGCACTTTTACATACCATATGCCAGTTAACCCTCTTAATAATTCCATGGTACCAGAACCATGAAATGGAGACCTAAAGGTTGAGTTCCTTTTTGTTTCTAATAAACCTAGGTCACTGGGGTTGACATGGTTCACAATATAAAGATTTACTAATTGGTAATGTTACAGGATTTAAACACAGATCTCAAACCACAAACAGAAAGGGAATAGGTATAGTGTGTTAAGGAGCTCAAATAATTTAGATACGTGTCTCACCAATTTCAAACATAAACTACCCATCTCCCCATCAAGAAAAGTTGTGCACTGTAAATCATATGAAGTTTCTAGTGTATTCCCTTATATAATCTATAATAGAATACTTACAATACACCAGGCATGGTTCCAATACATTTATATCTATGAATTTACTTAGTCATCACTACAATCCTATGATATAGCTATTAATGTTTTATATATGAAGAAACTGAATCATGATCACAGAGAAATTAGGTAGCTTGCATAAAGTCCCCACAGCTAGTAATAGTAGAACCAGTATTCAAACCCAGGTTTAGGAACAAAGCCTTTCATAACGACCCTTTACTACTTTTCTATACAGAAAATGTGGTAAACATATACCAACAAAATAGCCCCAAATTGCTTTTTGTATTCCTTTTTTCCTGTACTAGTTTTCCCTTACTTCAGTATTTCATAGTGCAGCTGATGAAATTATCATTCTAAAACACAGATCTAAACACAAGACTTAATTGTGTAAAAGTAATTTAATGGCTTTTATAACTAACTCCTTAATATGTAAACAGTTCCTTTCACAATCTGACCCAGTATACCTGTCTTGCTACATCCCTTTGAGAGGTGGTGCTATTCACTATCCCAGAAGCAAATTAATGAAGTAAATGATTACAAGCCCAGTAAATTGAAAACCTATTTGTTCCAATGATGGGCTGAGAACTTGCAGATCTGAAGATATTCCAGCTCTAAAACTTCACTTGATTTTGTTACGAGGAAAGACACACAGCCTTTCTGTTTTCTCCACCAGGGCAAAGATTTGCTGTTTCTATCTAGTGCAATTTAGACTCCTAATGATTTTCAAATACATTTAGATTAACTCTCAAAATTAACCAGACCCAATCACCCAGTTGCTTATAAGTTTTTGTGTTGTAAATTTCCAAAAAGGCAGTGTGTGTGTGTGTGTGTGTGTGTGTGTGTGAGTGCGTGCGCACGTGTGTGTGTGTGTGTGCGTGCGCACGTGTGTGTGTGTGTACCTGCGTATTTGTGTTTGAAACAGTGAATCCAATAACTGGAATGCTTACCGCATTCTCAGCACACTGCTAAGGCTTCACTTACTGTATTCCTTCACAGCAACCCAATAAAGTATCATTATTCTCATTTTGTGAATAAAAAAAAGTAAAGCTCTGACTTTCTGAGATAATACAGAGAAGACAAAAATGTTACATGCCAAAGACTTAAAAATGTTCACAGTCTTTAAATTATACACAGATTCCTTAGTGATGACTAAAAGTGTCAAATGATGTTGTTAGCAACTAATAGTTTCCCAGAGACTTCCCGTCATCTCAAACAAACATCCTTATCACAAAATTTGGTAATGTAATATTAAAGCAGCAAGACAATACTCAAACAAAAGGCATCTAAAGATGCTGAGGTAAACATCTGTATTTTAAGCAAGCTTGAGATTTCCAAATAATAATTGACAGAGAAAGTAATTTTTCTGTTTAATAATTTAATTTAGAGTGCATTTCTGTTTTTAGGTTTTTCTATTTTGTCAAACAGTTCTGTACTCTTTTAACGACTTCCATGAAAACTATTTCTGTGCACACAATAGGCAGAGGGTTTTTCAAAATGTGCAAAGTAAAGCGCCCCTCTACCTGTTATTTAAGCCAGTATGTTCTAAAGCACCTCTCATTCTCTTTGATGCTACACTGCAGTGTATCTCATAGAACACCTTTTTTAAAAACCTTCAATTCCTTTGGTCAGAGATTAGAGCATTTGATGTCATATATAAACAATAAAATCCTTTTTATCTCAGTGGTATTTCATTATACTTTGTGACTTAGAAACAAAACGGGCTTGAAGTCAAGCCAAGACACATCTTTAAGATTGCTATGATAATGCTAATATGCCCTTTAAAATTGAGGCCAGCTGGGAAATCGAAAGGGTGACAAGTGGAACCAACTTGCATCAAACTGGCATGACACCAGACATTGGCATGGCCTACATGACAGCTGCAGCATCTGGGGAGAGCTTGATAAGAAAATCCTGTTATAATGCAGAGCTGGTTTCCCTTAAATTACATCTTATACAGTTTCATAGGTGCCATATTTTATTTTAGAACAAAATGCATTCCTTTTTGAAACAGAAATACTCTTGTCCTTAAGCAAATGTGAAGGAAGTGGTATTTGGCTGTCCTTTGGCAAAGGGAAAAACCCATGTATATTTAATTAGACCCTTTACCTGAGGGATTTTTGTTATGAGAACAGAGTGTGAGACTATAACTTTGAGTAGCAATGTAAATGCTATCAGGGCATTCAAAGCAAAGAGTTCAACAAAAGAGCTGCTGTCTGTGTCAGTTGTAACAACACACTGAGAGGTCCTGGGTGGCAAATGGATGAAGCAGAACCAGATCTCAGTTTCATTCCCAATTGAGTGTCTTCTTTGGACAGAAAATCAAGAGGATAACTACCCAGGTGTTCCAGTTTATTGAGTATGACAAGGAGGCCCTCTGCCATCCTAACTAAATTGCAGGGGGAAATACTCTAAGCAAAGACTGCTCTCCTGTCATCTTATACTACAGCATTAGCCTGTGGATTTGTGATGAAGGAGGTGGTTCCTGTTTAGCCTTTTCTCCAGGGGACATAAAGGACAAATTGTCTGTTCTCCATTATTCATTCATTCAATACATTCTTATCAAACAAACACTTTATGACAGTCATTGTGTTTCTGTGATTTGTGCTTCTAAGATACAAAAATAATATGATATAGACTCTTCCTAAGCTCACAGACTAATAAAGACACCTGTATAAACAAACAATTGAAAAATGGCATGATGAGAGTGTCAATAAGAAATGTACAAAGAATTATTACCATCACAGCCCCTCTTGGCTTTTCTGCCATGTGGAAAAATGCACACTCTAATTTTTGAAGATTTCAAATCTATTTCCAAATTTCAGAGTGACTCTTCCTTAAAAGCATGCAAGCAACTATGGTCTGTGACTCTTTTTAATTTTGACGGATCCTCTAGAAACATTAAGATTTGATCTATCACTTCTATAAAACAGTCCAAACTCAGAAATTAGGAGCCGTGCAACCTAAAAAAGGAAATAAAAAACAGCCTGGAAAACTTCTACTCAGTGACATGACATGACATATTTTATAAATTTTTTAAATTACAAATTAAGTCATAAAAGAGAAGTCATACTGTTGGGAACACATCAATTTACTATGTTAGCTTTCTTAAATATTTTCTGAAATAAGGTGGAGCATACAAAAAAAATCAATGGTTACAGGGTTAAGGTATGATCATTGCACTCGTGGAGAAATGATAAATAAGGAAAAGAATGTAATAGGAAAAAAAGGTTAAAAATGAATTCTTAGATATGGTGTATGATATTGGCAACAAATTAGCAGCCTGTAGCAGCAGTTTACTCCAAAACCAGAATTGATACTAATTTCTGAACAAATAATAAAATTTAACAATGACAATATCATAGGCATATTATCATTCAAAGAACTATAAGTGTACAAAGCTGGTGTCATGTTGGTCATTTAGTATAATGTCCCAGTGAGGATCCCAAAAATTATAGCCTCAGAGGTGAGTGTCACCTTCTCCTCTTGGCTCTGCTTCTTCCCCTCTACTGTCTTGGCAAAGATGCAAAATTTCAAACAAGGTTCCCTATATGCACTACATCCTCCATTTTTAAAAAGTTTAATGATGCTTACGCGACTAACTAGTTGATCCAAAAATACAGTACAGCAATTAGAAGCAACTCAGAAGGAAAAACTGCTGTCCATCTGCTGGCCTCCACCACCATCTGAAAGGAAGCCCCTCTGCATTGTAGCTATTATACTCACAAAGGATAAAAGAGCATTTTCTAGACCCTTTGCTAAAAAGCCTGATATTTAAACCTATTTCACAGATGACTAACTAGGTATACTCCCCTATAAAGTATTCATCATCTACTGCAGAAATTTATTCATTTTAGTATGTCATAAAGGTATTGCAATTAGACATTTTTCTTTTACTAACACTTCCTGTTTTTATACTGTGGACTTGAAAAAAAAAAAGAAACAGCCTTATAGAAAGAGAAATAGAGAGGCTTCTTGCCATCCCAATTTTTATAAATTCCTGACTATAAAATTCTGCTTCCAACTTTAATTAAGGCATCTTCTAGTTTTCATATTTTGTCAGCCAGCTTGGACATCCCAGCTCTCTGCCACCAGGGGGTTATAATGCCTCCCAGGGCTTGCATTAAATTGGATGCTGAGAAAATGAGATTCTTGGCACCCGAAGTTTTTCTCTGCTCTCACCATTCTCATTTTTTCTTTGTTATTTTTATTTTTATTATAGAATCGTCTTGTTACACCACCAATGGGACTTTTACATTGGAGCAGCAAAGGAAGTACCTATAAGATAATGCACACTGGCCAAGCATGATAAAAGCATCAGCTGAGTTAGGGATATTATCCTGATCCCTCACTGTGACTTAGTCTCATTCATTCTTTTGTCCTGAGCCAATTACACCCTGCCTGAGCTTATGACCCACTTGCTCTCTTGACCAAGCTCAATGCATATTGCATGACTCCAACCAATTTTAGCTGGTTGTGTCCCCAGGCAGAATCACATATTATTTGTTCCTTTGGATGAATGGCCATTCAGCAATCATTACCCAGTGCTTTAGTAGTGCCCGAGGACAGGAATTACATCCAGAAATAAGTATGGACATCCCACACACTGCCAGCTGTTTATTCACTACATGATTACAACACTGCATGCTCCAATCTACCATGCCAATTCTAAAACAGTTTAGTCATTTTAATAAGAAAAAAAAAACACACTGGTTTAATGATTGTTAGCTAGCTAGCTAGAGATTATAGATTTTACATATATTTAAGTCCCAGTGTGGCATTATTTGTTGCCTAATCAACAGCCATTCCCAATTATTCTCTCTAAAGGACCGAAATTCTTTTCTGTGATCAAGTAACTATGACCTTATGAGAGTTCAAGGTTTCCCAAGACCCTGGACAGGAATGTGATTGGTTCATGTCAGTCATGGTGACATTTGCCTTGATTATGGGTATTTGAGTCATGGGCACCATATTAGTCCAATCTCACACTGCTATGAAGAGATACCCGAGACTGGGTAATTTATAAAGAAAGAGGTTTAATTGACTCACAGTTCACCATGGCTGGCAAGGCTTCAGGAAAATTACAATCATGGTGGAAGAGGAAACAAACACATCCTTCTTCATATGGCAGCAGGAAAGAGAAGTTCAAGCAGGGGAAATGCCAGATGCTTATAAAATGATCAGATCTCATGAGAACTCACTCACTATCCTGAGAACAGTGTGGGGGAACCACCACCATGATTCAGTTATCTCTACCTGGTTCTGCCCTTGACATGTGAGGATTATTACAATTCAAGATGAGATTTGGTTGGGGACACAGCCAAACAATATCATTTCACCCCTGGCTCCTCTCAAACCTCATATCATCATATTTCAAAATACAATCATGCCTTTCTGAGTGTCTCACAAAGTCTTAGCTCATTCCAGAATTAATCCAAAAGTCCAAGGTCAAAGTCTCACCTGAGACCAGGCAAGTTCCTTCTGCCTATTAGCCTGTAAAATCAAATCAAGTTAGTTACTTCCTTCATACAATGGGGATACAAGCATTGGGTTGATACACCCATTCCAAATAGGAGAAATTGGCCAAAACAAAGGGGCTACAGGCCCCATGCAAGTCCAAAATCCAATAGGGCAGTAATTAAACCTTAAAGTTCCAAAATGATCTCCTTTGACTCCATGTCTCACATCCAGGGCATGCTCATGTAAATGGTGGGCTCTCACAGCCTTAGGCAGCTCTGCCCCTGTGGCTTTGCAGAGTACAGGCCCCAGACCCAGCTGCTTTCATGGCTGGCATTGAATGTCTGCAGGTTTTTCAGGTGCACGGTGCAAGCTGTCAGTGGATCTACTACCATTCTGGGTCCTGGATGATGGTGGCCCTCTTATTACAGATCCACTAGGCAGTGCCACAGTGGGAACTCTGTGTGGGGGCTCCAACCCCACATTTCCCTTCCACACTGCCCTAGCAGAGGTTCTCCATGAGGGCTCCACCCCTGCAGTAGACTTCTGACTAGACATCAAGGCATTTTCATACATCCTCTGAAATCTAGGCAAAGGTTCCCAAACCTCAATTCTTGACTTCTGCATACCCACAGAACCAACACCGTATGGAAGCTGCCAATGCTTGAGGCTTGCACCCTCTGAAGTGATGTCCTAAGCTGTACCTTGGCCCCTTTTAGCCATGGCTGGAGCAGCTGGGACACAGGGCACCAAGTCCCTAGACTGCACACAGCAGGGGAATCCTGGTCCCACCCCACGAAACCATGTTTCCCTCCTAGGCTTCCAGGCCAGAGATGGGAGGGACTGCCATGAAGACCTCTGACAAGCCCTCAAGACATTTTCCCCATGGTCTTGGTGGTTAACATTCAGCTCCATATTACTTATACAAATTTCTGCAGCTGGTTTGAATTTCTTTCAGAAAATGAGATTTTCATTTCTATCATATCATCAGCCTGCAAATTTTCCAAACTTTAATGCTCCAATTCCTCTTGAATGCTTTGCTGCTTAGAAATTTCTTCCTTCAGATGCCCCAAATCATCTTTCCCAAGTTCAAAATTCCACCTATCTCTAGGGCAGGGGCAAAATGCCACCAGTCTCTTCGCATAGCAAGAGTGACATTTACTCCAATTTCCAACAAGTTCCTCATCTCCATCTGAGACCACCTCAGCCTGGTCTTCATTGTCCTTATCACTATCAGCATTTTGGTCAAAGCCATTCAACAAGTCTCTAGGAAGTTCCAACATTCCCATATTTTCCTGTCTTCTTCTGAGCCCTCCAAACTGTTCCAACCTCTGCCTGTTTCCAAGTTCCAAAGTTGCTTCCACATTTTCAGGTATCCTCATAGCAGTCCCCCACTACCTTGGTACCAATTTACTGTATTAATTCATTCTCATGCCGCTATAAAGACATTCCCAACACTGGGAAATTTATAAAGGAAAGAGGTTTAATTGACTCACAGTTCTGCAGGGTTTTGGAGGCCTCAGGAAACTTACAATCATGGAAGAAGGGGAAGCTAGCACATCCTTCCTCATATGGCAGCAGGAAGGAAAAGCACAAGCAAGGGAAATGCCAAATGCTTATAAAACCATCAGCTCTCATGAGTACTCACTCACTATCACAAAAACTTCATGGGGGAACTGCCACCATAATTCCATAGTCTCCACCTGGTCCCACCCTGGACACATGGGGATTATTACAATTCAAGATGAGACTTGGATGGGAACACTGTCAAACCATATCAAGGACATAACACAATTCTGGTTAATTGAAGCTGAGGGCTCTGCTGTGGGGTTTTTGAGAAAGAGTTCCTGGTTGAGAAGATGAGCTGTATAGAAAGAAAAGTTTCTCTTCTAAATATATGTCATCTAGTCTTCATGGGATGCCTGGAAGCACTTTACCTATCACGTAATCATAAGGAGAAGCTTACTGACACACTGATAAGGGAGAGTGGAAAATATGGATAGTGCCAGCACTAGGATCCCTGATGAGGTCCTTGAACTGCTGAGTTAACCAACCATGGATTCTGCTGACCTCTGATTTTCTTATCACATAAGACGATAAATGGCCTATTTTGAGTCACTTTTAGTGGGATTTTCCATTACTTGCAGCTAGAAGCATCCTAACAGGCATAGCCTGCATTTCTAATTTATACTACATTTTTTCTTTGATATAGAGTCTATTCCCCTCCAAATCTCATGTGAAAAATGGATCCCAAATGTTGGAGGTGGGGTCAGCCGAGTGGGAGGTATTTGAGTCATGAGAGTGGATCCCTTATGAATTGCTCAGTGCCATCCTCACAGTAATGCATGGGTTCTCAGGCTATTAGTTACTGTAGGATCTGATTTGCTAAAGAGAGCCTAACACCTCTTCCTCCTCTCTTTCTTCCTCTCTGTCACACATGTGGCATGCTTGCTTCCCTTCGCTTTCACCATGAGTGAAATCTTCCTGAGGCCCCGCAGAAGCAGATGATGGTACCATGCTTCTTGTCCAGCTTGTGGAACCGTGGGCCAAATAAACCTTTTTGCTTTACTCAGCATCAGGTATTCCTTTGTAGCAATGCAAAACAGACTAATACATTTTCCTATTTTCAAAATCCAATCATTCTCACGGTAATGAGAGTAAATTTGATCAATTGCCTACTCCTCTAAATTTTATTAAAGAAACACTATGTTTATATCTCCTCTCATGACAGCTAGAATTTTAAAAAAATCTTATTCATGATAGTATTTTATGAAATCAGAGTATGAAAAATAGAATAAATCACTAGGGAAAATGCAATAACTGTGTCAGAAAAAATTATCAAATAAGCCATTTAAACAAGAAAATCTGAAAAAATTGCTAAAGAAGAAAATCCTAGAGGGGTCAGAGAAGTCATAATTACAAAGAACAGCAAGGTGAGAATATCATAATAGCTGGAACATAAAAGGTGCTCTAATACTGAAATGGGGAACTGAGAAGGATTAACTACATACTTTATTGGTCCTCACGTAAAGTGAAAAGCTTGGACCTCTTGTTCAAAAACTTAAGAGTTTTAAGACAGAGACAGCAGAGCACTAAACCAATGTGGTTTTAAAAGTACCCTCAGAAAGCGTGAGCCCTGAGCAACTGCATGGGTTGCATACCCATGAAGCCAGCCTGACATCCAAGAATTATGATTTTTCCAGTCCACATATAAAGATTGGAATGGAGTGGACATGGTAATGAGGCTATTGATACAAAGTGAGGCTGGGCCCCAATAGGACTTCCCTGGACAGAGTTTAATTTCAGTCCAGAGCAAAACCTAAAGAGACTGTGGGAAGAAACCATTCTAGAGTTAACCCTACAATACACATCTTCATATTTCAGATGAAAATAATAATACGGAATGTTATTTAAATAACAGGGAAATGCTTAATGCATAATTTTTTGTTTTATTTTATTATTTTTTTTTTTGGAGACTGAGTCTTACTCCAGGCTGGAGTGCAGTGGTGCAATCTTGGCTCACTGCAACCTCCCTCTCCCTGTTCAAGCGATTCACCTGCCTCAACCTTCCAAGTAACTGGGACTACAGGCACATGCTACCATGTCCGGCTAAATTTTGTATCTTTAGTAGAGATGGAGTTTCATCATATTGACCAGGCTGGTCTCGGACTCTTGAACTCAAGTGATCCGTCCACCTCAGCCTGCCAAAGTTCTGGGTGTGAGCCACTGTGCCCAACCTTAATGTATAATGTTAATAAAGATAGTTGTACATAAAATTATGTGCATATAGATGTACATGTGGGGTATATATACAGACTTAAAGGAAGTACTTCAAAACATATCATGTATATTACTAGATGCTATAGTAAAGTACCAAAAACTGAGAGGCTTAAATAATAGAAATTTATTGTCTCACACTTCTGGAAGCCAGAAGTCCAAAATCAATGTACTGGGAAAGTTGGTTTCTTCTGATGGCTGTGAGAGAAGGATCTGTTTCTGGCATCTCTCTTTAGCTTGCAGAAACCTGTCTTCATGTTCACATGGCATTTTCCCTTTATGCATGCCTCTTTCTAATTATCTTTTTAAAAATAAGGACACCAGTTGTGATATTAGGGCCAATCCACTGACCTCATCTAACCTTGATTATCTCTGTAAAGACTCTATCTCCAAATAAGGTCATATTCTAAGGTACTGGGGGTTAGGAATTTAACGTATAAATTCTGGTGTGGGAGAGGAAATATTTAGCCCATATAATAGGTTAACTCTATGGTGGAATATCATATTTTCTTTATATATTTTCATAGTTTCTAAAGCTCAGTTTTATAATCAGAAAAAATAGGAAAACATGAGTTTAATAATACTCTATAGGCTGAAGAAAACGACAACAATGAGATACTGGACTGATAGAAGAGTCTTGGGAAAATAACATTTGAGGCATAAGAGATGTCTATATCATGCAGGAAAAATCATACTTGCTCAGCCTACGTAAGTAGAACCTCAGAGTAAAGGATTTTTACTGAAATAATGTCACACCCTTAAAAATAATGATCCCAACTCTCAACCTTTACCATTTCCCACACAACTTCCCTTCCTATAATATTGATTTAGGATTCCAGCTCTACATACAAAACTACACCAAACACTCATCCATTCCAGTTTCAGCAACCCAAACTAAGTGCATCCAACAAATTCTAAGGGACAGCCTCAAACTCTGTTTAGACTAAAACTGACAGGACCCACATCCATTCAGAATTATATCTTATTCTTTACTATGTTTTACTAGTCTGATAAGCCTATATTTTCACAGCACTTTTTCACTTTGGAGCTGTAGATTCATAATAACTACTCTGCAGGATTGTTGCAAAAACAATATCAATTATCATTATTTCCATGTTTTATTCATCCTGTCAAATTCATTTTTATTCAGAACCTACAATGTGAACAAGACAATACAGGACATATTTGTTTATGAGGTTTTGAGTGAGGCAACCTGTGACGATAGTCAAGGCAGTGGCTCAAATGTTAGCGAAACTAAGTAAGTTTTACTCTATTCCATTTATACAAACTCAATACCTCAATCCCCTTTTGACCATGTGGAATCTTAAGGAAACCAACAACATGACCCAAGAACATAAGATGCTCTGTCAGCTCACTTTATAAGCTCTAGGAAGAATTAAGCACACACACGTAAAGATACCAGATATATGAAGTTTCAACCAATATCAAGATCACTAAAAAGCATTTTGGATACATTTCAAAGGAAGTAACAAGAATATGTTACCCATCAAAATCAAAACACTTAGCCATCACTAAAATTTCATAAGACAAATTGGAGCTGCCAAAATCTAGAAATTTCATTCACTTCATGGATGAATATAGTGTTTGCATTCCTGCTTCACTTAACAAAAACAAAAATATAGATGGAAATTATAAACACAAAGTTAGACTCTTCTAAGAGCTTAATTGCTCAACATTATGATTTTCTAGATATTATCATATATTTTAACTGACATTAACAACAGTTTACTTCAAATTGTAATTCATAATACAAAGCAGCAATTATAGTTTTAGGTATCATGTATTAAATCATATCTTGACAAATGGCAGACTTGTTTATTTGTTTGCCATTATGAAAGATTATGTTTGCTTATTATTTTTTTTACAAATATGAGAATAGGAGATACAATGTATATTCTTCATAGCAATGTGGTAATAAAGAGGTTGAGGTGTCTCCTATATAGATCTTCAATATTTATAAATTCAAAAAATGCTATTGTCTTCAGTCTGAAGTTGGCTGACATATTCATTTTGAATCAATATAATTTACTTTTCAATGAGGTTTAAGTGGCTACCATGTATAAAGCACTGTTAAATATTCTGCATGACTTAAAAATACACAGTCAGTCTCCATTCTTCAATAAAATCATAATCTAAGACCATGAATAAGATACAGGGAATTTACGTGACCAGATAATATAATTGGTATGCCATTGTTGCGAATAAATAAGAAGATTTAAATGATGGCGAGCACTTCTCCATACAGTGCGATTGAGAAAACCTTCACACAGTCCTAGGTGACACTGATTTTCAATTCCTAACAAATGGAATATTTTTAGCCAATTCACAGGGGGAGCAAAGTACAAAAGTGTTTGAGAAAACACCAGAATTATACTTGAACTAGAAGGAAAGGAGGCTAAAAATTAGGAAAACCAAAATCACGGGATAGGAAAATGAGAGAGAAAGTAAAAGGCCAAGGAATGGTCAAAGCAAAAGTAGACAAACACACACACAAAAAATGTGTCTACCCTGAGCAATCTTTGTTCTAATATTTGGTATATTTGTGTCTTGGTTTTCAAGTGAAACTGGGGCTGGTCGGAAGAAATACTGTTGACAATTACTTATGCCTAATGTTTTTTGAAAAACAAGGAATCCACATGTAGATACACAAAACTTCTCCACAGGTATCTTCCTCAGAGGACACAGATTTCTGAAATTTAAAAAACTGTGATTGCTTTATTCTCTAATAAAAACATTCCATAACAAAACAACATTTTATTGGTCATCTTGGTGAAAATGAGTATACTAGTCATTTGTTTTTAGAAATGGGATTTTGATCTGTATGATAAACAAGAGATAATAATTGAAATAGCATAAGTTAAAACATCTGCTCACTTTTATTAGCTCTGATTTTAGAGGGAAAATCTTACATCTAATCTTCTAGACTTAAAATAAGATTTTCAGAATTTTAATTATGTCCTCTCTCTCTCTCTCACATACACACACACACACACACACACACACACACACACACACACAGAGAGAGAGAGAGAGACAGAGAGAGAGAGAAAGTACTTCTGTTGCCATTAATTTGTTTTAGAGATGAACGGGGCTTAAGAAATTTAACACAAATAAAGTAAGCAGTTAAGTTACAATGAAGGATACAAAATGTTCACACTTCTTTACTGTACTACATTTAAATCAATGTGACAAAGTCATTTTGTCTTTATGCAAACAATCAACTTGGTATTTTCGTATAGTAACAGAAAAAATGGGCTTTGCAGACGCCGCTGCCACCGGGAGCCCTCTACTATCAGCCATGGTCAACCCCACCGTGTTCCTCGACATCGCTGTCCACGGTGAGCCCTTGGGTGGTATCCCCTTCGAGCTGTTTGCAGACAAGATCCCAAAGACACCAGAAAACTTTCATGCTCTAAGCACTGGAGAAAAAGGATTTGGTTATAAGGGTTCCTGCTTTCACAGAATTATTCCCGGGGTTATGTGTCAGCGTGGTGACTTCACAAGTCATAATGGCACTGGTGGCAAGTCCATCCAAGGGGAGAAATTTGATGACAAGAACTTCATCCTAAAGCACGCAGGTCCTGGCATCTTGTCCATGGCAAATACTGGACCCAACACAAACAGTTTCCAGTGTTTCATCTGCACTGCCAAGGCTGAGTGGTTGGATGGCAAGCATGTGGTCTTTGGCAAGGTGAAAGAAGGCATAAATATTGTCGAGGCCATGGAGCGCTTTGGGTCCAGGAATGGCAAGACCAGCAAGAAGATCACCATTTCTGACTGTGGAAAACTCTAATACGTTTGACTTGTGTTTGATATTTTATCTTAACCACCAGACTATTCCTTCTGTAGCTCAGGAGAGCACCTCTCCACCCCATTTGCTCGCAGTATCCTGGAATCTTTGTGCTCTCGCTGCAGTTCCCTTTGGGTGCCATGTTTTCCTTGTTCCCTTCCATGTCTAGCTGGATTGCAAAGTTAAGTTTATGACTATGAAATAAAAACTAAATAACAATAAAAAAGAATGGTAGAAATGATTGGTAATTGACTAGGGACTTTAGAAAAATGTTTAAACTCTGTAACATTTCGTTCTTTATCTTGCATTCTTATTAGATATCACTTCTACCAGATATCATTAACAGAATTAAGGATAAAAATCATATGACCTTATATTCCTAATACTCTTTATACCAAATTAGTTACTTAGAAAGAGCTCTATGACCTTGGGAAGTTATGTAAGTTTTCTGAGCCTTGGTTTTCCTATTTGCAAAGAAAAAGCAATACTATTTAAATGAGCCATTCCATGTATCATTGCATGATTCTGAATTTCCATATTTTATCTTCCTTCTATGAAAAATGACAATCTCAGTTGCTCCTTTTAGTATCAGATTGTGCCATTTTATACATTATGATAATTAAAGTAATGATCAGGGACTAGATTTTCAAGTGCACATTTTGGTTTGAATACATTTCTCAGTCCTCCCCTTCTGGCTTGGTAGGATGCACCAGCCCACTCATGCCAGCCACTGAGGTTAGGATGCATTCTGCCTGTGAAGATCCCAGATTTTCACATCACATTGGCTTTATCAGCTTCCACAGCTGCTGGAGAGTGCAAGGTCCTAAGAGGCTCTAAGAGACACTTAGACACCTGTCAAACCAGGTGCACTGGGGCAGCAACTGCCCACTAAACATCCAGGCTGGCATGCAGCCAACTCCTTCTCTACCCTAATAATTTTTTTTAAAGGCCAATGTGATCACATTTAAATAACACAACGCTTTCCCAGAGAGAAATTTTTACAGGCACTGAAAAGAGAGAAAAGTGTGCTTTTTAAAAAATCTGAAGCAAAGTTAGGACAGAATCCAGAAATGAAGCTTACTCAGCCAGTTCTGAAATGTAACCTGCTTGTTAATCATTAATGAGATGTTAAATTTATGAAATCTTGAAGTGAAACACAAGACTAAGATTTTGGCATCAGGTTTCATTTGAATCAACTTTCTGGAGAAAAAAAACAGCTCAGTAAGTTGAACTGCAGGCTGCGGGGGCTACCCCAGGGCATCAGCGTTGTGCTGTAAAATCACACTATATCATCAGCACACATGTGCACAAGGGAGAAAACACATTAGACTGTAAGATAATCGTCAAGCAGAGAAAATAAAATATGCCCTCAGGCGTCCCATTTGTAATTCCCTTGAATCCATGTTCACAAGGCTTTCTTTTCTATACAATTTGACAAGTTAATGCAAACCACTTTATGTAGTCACTACAACGCCCCAAATCCCTGAAGTTTTGTAGGGATAATTTATGGTCAGCTAAAGCAAATGCCTTAGAGAAGTCAATAGAAATTGCTTCTATCACACAGTCTTCATCTATTGCATTGGAGATAGTGTGGATACCAGATCCTGGGTGATTGGTTTGCTGTGAAGCCTGACAAGAAAGGAGTCAGCAAGTCCTTTGGCTGTAGATAGTTTGAAATGTGTACGTGTACATTTTTTTTAACAGGTAGAGCCAAAATAGCTTTCTGCTGAATCAAACCTCTTAATTTCCTTTTTGTGGAGGTGAACTATACTGACAATGTCTTCAGACTTGAATGAAGGGAAGACCTCAGAACGGAGATATTTTCTTTGCTATTACCAGAATTGGCAAGTGAAGAAATGCAGGCTCTTCACAGATACTGTATCACAATTTAGTATTCACCAGGAAATAATTCCAAATTTTCCAATGCATAAATGAATCTCTCTCAGTAAAAATCCACATTAATCCCTCTGAGTGCATTTATTTGTTTGAAGGCAAAGCCCTCACCACCATCACCAAAAGACATTGGTATAAATGATAATGACATTAAGAATCTGGTGTTTGTCAGTCTTACTGTTTTAAATCTTTACAGTTGAAATGGTTATAGTTAAGTATTTTAAAATAATTTTCACATATATGTATGTGTGAATAAGGTATATATATATATATATATATATTAGGAATTATCTCCATTCTCAGAAAAAAATCCAGATGTTTCCAGAGATTAATTTCCTAGTTTTTTATATATGTATATATTTCATATATATATTTTAACTATATATTATTAAAGAGCAGGCAGATTACAAAATATTTCTCAAAGAACAATATAACATTTTTAAATTTTATTTTTTATTTGTTCATTTTAATCTGAGTGTTTCTCTCTTTGACTCTGTAGTACCTCTGGTCTACCAGCACAGGAGAATTGAAAGTAGGGTGGCCTACCATTCAAGAAAGAGTACTGGCTAGGTTCTCTAACTTATCCAAAACATATAACAATCTTGTCCTCTACACATCTATCATGTATAGATTCTATCATGTGTATTGGCTCTCAAATAAGGGGAAATATTTTTGTAATAGTCAATGTTTGGTCATGAAAATAGAAGCTATTTTATTATTCCAAGTATGAAGGATTTCAATAGAAGAAACTAAAAGTTTTTCAAAACCATTGTATGGATCGGAGAGTAAAGAAAGGGAAGCTCTCACCAATATTTCCAGCCTATGGCACTAAAGTAGATGGTTCTTAAAAATTCCTCCAGAAGTCACTGAAATCTCAAGAACTGCTGAGTGGCTTCCACTGACTATTTGAATCTGCAATACCAAGGAGAACAATTCTCCAGAAGTCACCATGAGCTATCTAAGCTATACAAAGCCTAAAGCAGGTGAGATGTAGGATGTTGTCAGCAAGCTGCTGTGAACTTCTTGTCTGTCATCTGCCCACACCCTTGGCTTCAAAGGCTTCTGAAGAATAATCCTCTTTTTTCTTCTACCTTCCAAATCTCAGTTTAGTTCATCTCATTGTCAGACTGTGACCTAAACCATGGGGCAAAGATAGATTGAAGAAATGCATATTCAGACTTTCTTTCTGTAATAGAAGTTAATAGTGATTAATTTTATAATACACTAATCAGATGTGTGTTACAACTGAAAAATATCAGCAATGCAATTTTAAAAACTTTATTAAAACAAATCACATTTGTGTATGATTAATAAAATGTTAGGCAGTCACTTAAGTCATGGCTTTCATCTTTACAAGAAGAAAAAGCCGAACCAACCAAAAATATACTACTTTTCTTGGACTCTTCAGAGAAGTGAGGTCCCTGGGAAAATTACTCCTTCAAAATCTGAAAAGACAGGTGAATCTGAAGAATTACAGCTAGATTTGCTTATCTGGAGCAGAAGCTACGGAAGCCATAAGCCTGTAGGAACACATAAATGTTAATTCTGATGAGTAACTACAGGCAGAGTGAAGACTTGTATGATGGGAGAAACACCTGAGGATGCGGTCTTGAGGGGCCCCACACTTCCATGAGGGCCTCACCATGTTGTCCAGTAAAGAGCTGGGAACGTTCCTTTCATGAACCCGATTGGGGGCAAGGAAGAATAATCACTGTGAAATATACTAAGCAGGCCGGGCATGGTGGTTCACGCCTGTAATCCCAGTACTTTGGGAGACCGAGCAGGTGGATCATTTGAGGTCAGGAGTTCGAGACCAGCCTGACCTATGTGGTGAAACCCCATCTATACTAAAAATAAAAATAAAAATAAATTAGCCAGGCATGGTAGTGGACGCCTGTAGTCCCAGCTACTGGGGAGGCTGAGACAGGAGAATCGCTTGAACCCGGAAGGCAGCAGTTGCAGTGAGCCAAGATCATGCCACTGCACTCCATCCTGAGCGACAGAGCAAGACTCCATCTCAATAAAATAAAATAAAATAAAATTTTATATATATACACATATATATACATATACACACACACACACACACACACACACACACATATATATATATATAGAGAGAGAGAGAGAGAGGACATTCTTCCTAAAGGGCTTTATAATCTAAAAACAAAAAAGACTTTACCAGAGCCTTTTCCCACTTGGCGGAAGGGCATAGTTTTCCCACTATAGTCCCTTCTAGCCTTCCTATTTCACCTAAGGAAGGAAAATAAAAGCTAAGACATGTTTGTGAAAGTTAAGAGTTCAGAGATACCTATCTCCTAAAACACTGAGATCAAATCACAAAATGGTGAAACGTGTCCCCTCCTCCGTGATTTAGCACCACATCAACAGAGGATATATAACAAAGGATTATAGCTGAAAGAGTTGCAAGATCCAAACTCTTAGGAGGAGCAGCTAAGGAATTCCGAAGTCAACAGGAGATACGAAAATAGGACACAAGAGGAATTTGAAACCCCCGGCACCTATAAATGCAGCAAACATTAAGCACAGCCTAAATTCTGATCAGATTAACATAAAGTCTCATGTTAAAAGCCAATTAGGCCAGGCACACTGGCTCACATCTTTAGTCTCCACAACTAAGGAGACTGAGGCTGGGAGAACACTTGAGGCCAAGAGTTCCAGACCAGCCTGCAGCCTGGGCAACATAGTGAAACCCCCTCTCTAAAATAAATAAATAAATAAATAAATAAAAATAAAATTTGCCAGGCATGATGGCATGTGTCTATAGTCAGGTACTTAGGAGACTGAGGCAGGAGGATCAATTGAGTCCAGGGATTTGAGGCTGTAGTGAGCTACAGTTGTGCCACTACACTCCAGCCTGGGATACTAAGTGAGACCCTGTCCCAAAGAAAAAAAAAAGCCAATTTATCTCAATTTCTCTTACTTGATACATTATGCCCGGCCTTCATCAAAAATATTAAAAGACATGCTAAAAGGCAAAAAATAAAATAGTTTGAAAAGACAAAGATAGCATCAGAATCAAACTCAGCAGTAACACAATTTTGGAATTATGAGAGAATTTAAGACAACTATGATTAATATGTAAGACCTCTAATGGAAATGAAAGCAATGTGAAGAAACAGAAGGGTAATGTAAGGCTCATTGTAGACTGGTCATGCCACAAGAAAGAATCAGTGGTATTGAATATAGGTCAATAGAAGCTTCCCAAACTACAAAGAGAAGAAATGAAGGGAGGAAGAGAGAGAAAGAGAGAAAAAGAGATTTCAAGACTAGTAGGACGATTTCAAAGGTATAACATACATGTAGTTGGAATACCAGAAGGAGAAGAGAGAATGGAGAAGAATAAATAGTTAAAGTAATAATGACTGAAAAGTTTCCAAAATTAATAAAAGACACTAAAACATCTTGGTTGCTTCCAGTTTGGGACAATTATTAATAAAACTGCTATACATTTTCACATTCTAGTTTTTGTGTGGATATCAGTTTCTACCATGTTCAGTTTTGTAAGAAATTGCCCAAATGTTTTCCAAAATGGTTGAAGATAATTGAGATATTTATATAACGTATAGTTATTTTGTTTTTATATTGTAAATCATCTGGAATTTTATTTACATATTCAGGGTGCGTACATATGCACAACTTTATTACAGATTTTTAAATATCTGATTGATTCTTACTTTATTGTATCAACAATATTAAATAGTCTTCCTCACCTCCAACTTTCTCATTTTAAAATTTTGGTATGTGTAGACACAGTCCCAGGTGTGACTTATTTTGCCAGTACATTTGTTTTACAGATCAAAATGGAGTTTTAATCAGAATTTCCCCTTTTATATAAATAAGATGAAATGGTTTCTTCTACATTCTAAGTCTACTGTGTTTGCTTTTTCATTTCTTTTGAAATTTATGGAAGTTAACATACTATATTTTCCTTCCTTCAATCACCCTCCAGTTTCATAGATATTTTGGTAAACTCTATAGCGAATTTAATTCTGCAAGATGTCAAGAATTCTTTCAGGATAGCCCCAGTATCCATAATTTCTTCTCGACAATTTACCCCAAATTTTACCACCTTTAACTTTCCCCTCACCACCTCAAGCATCTAGAAGTTTTCTCCATATATTAAAAAAAAAGAAGTGCCATATAGTTTTCTTATAGCAGGAAAGCTATAAGAAATACTATATCCTTCAGAAAAGCAGACAAGTAATTAGCTCATCCAATTTTATTCATAACAAGAAGATAAATAGTACGAACATCAATTTTATTCCTCACTAAAGTTGTAGCTTAGAGAGATATAAATAATAATATGTTGTTTTTATATAGTAGACACCTATAGTATTTCCAGCTAAATATCTTATGAAATGAACAGCAAAACATTATTAGGCTCATAAATAAATGTGCCGGAGAGAATGATAAATGAAACTGGGAAATGTACACCATTTACAATATCAAAGCAATGTGCCAGGTATTCATCGTTAAGACAATGTGGATTATGATAAAGTTGAACAACAAAATGTTTAAATAATCACTCAAAACAACTATAAGAGAGATGACATTTGAAATGTACAGATGAAGATTGCTGTAAGAAAGTTATAGAAGGAAATTATCACTTCAGGCAAAGGTCATCAAGAGGCCGAGAATTTGAATTTGAGCTTATTCTTGTATAACATTGAATTTATACAGAAGCCAAAGTAAACAAGGAAGTAGAAATAAAGAAAAATGATGGCTATATACAAGATTTATTTACAAAAAACAATACAATATGATAGATGTAGAAATGGAGTCAGATGACAAAAATCATATCGAAGTGGTAGAAGTAACTGGTTATAATAGCTTTAAACAAAGTCACCTAAGTAGATAAATGGCTATTAGGAAATTTAAAACAAAAAAAAATACAGAAGCAACCTGAAAAAGATTAAAAGCTTGACAATTATTAATAATTTTAAGAATTCCAAGCAAAATCTTCAATGAATTTTCTTATTTTTTATACAATCCTTGCAGTTTCAGTGGGACTGTGTTGCCCATAAGAAGCGGAGGCTACATCAATTATTCCTTAGCTAATATTCTCTATTGTTTCAGAAATTGATTTCTATAGAATTGCATTAATAATTCTATCAGTTCAGTAAGGAATCAACACTCTAACTCCAGTTTCACCTAGAATAGTATTTCACTTTAATTAAAATACTAGAGCAGCAAGCAGATTTTATAGTTTCACACATCTGGCTATTTCAAAGCTAGATTGTTCTTTGCATATTGCTTTTGGACACTTTGAATAGCATGCTTTTCCAAAGGAAACTTGTTTTCTCAAGTTTCTGTAATTGGTATTTTGAATCACAGGATGTAGAACTCTCAAACCCAATATTGGAAATTCAGCTCTCTAAACCGGTATTGACTTTTGTTGTAATCCTACAGTGTAGAAAGCTTGCTGAAATTACCTCATGAGGACAGTACTTTGAGAATCTGAGCATAACTTTATTTTTCTTCATTTATTGTATTTTTCCAAAGAAATTATGCATTTAATTTAATATCTCAGCACCATTCACACATATTCAACAATTTTCAACAACATGCATGTAGACAAGAAAAGAATAAAAATATATTGACTTTTGGATATGCATTGCTTTTTACTAGTTTAAAGAAGTAAATTATCAGTTCAAATTAATATGTACAATTGCTTAGAACACAATATAGTGTATACCATAAGTCATCACAATGGGCTGTGTCTCATATTATATTAAAAAAAAGTTTACCTTTAAATCACTCTATATTTTAAAATATTACCAATTACATTAAATTGAAAATACACAATGAGATTGATTGTAGGGGATGTTCAACATTAGTAACTAATGTTTGAATAGTGTTTGTTTTTACATACAATTTTCAAAGTATTTCCCACATCAGAAAATTCGCAACAAGTTCTTCAGCTGTTTTGTGTACAGGTGATATCTCCATCTTAAACAATATTACTGAAGAAAGACACTATTTTTATAGTCCTGATTCTCTACTACCATCAAAATTACAGACTTTAAAATACCATAGAGATATATATCTTTTAAATCCAGAGTTGCTCAGACCATTTATTTTGATAGATTATTTTATCTTTTCTTATAAGCAGCAAAGTTCAAATCTACTCGGGTTTATCTGAATAGAATCAAGGCATCTGGACCTCAACGGCCCTGGAAATACCACAAAAAGTAAATTTTACAGCATATACATGAAAAGATAGAACTATTGTCTAGGGGTTTCTTTAAAGTAGAAAACATCATGTTCTTTGTTAGCATCAGATACTACCGTAAGTGTGTCAAATAGTCATTATATGTTTTGTGATTTATCTATATTTTTATTCATGGCCTCAAAATATAACTCCTTAATTTCTAGTGAAGGCAGAAAGGCCTGAATAGGAATATAAGCCAGACAAAAAAGAAAACAACAACAAAAAACACTAATCATTCTCTGCATGCACCTGTATTAAATCTCCTGAATATAGTGAAGCAAATAATCGTAATACATTATAATAAATAAGCAATCCATCACCTGTTTGTTATTATTTATAAAATGCTAAAAATTAAATCACTCTCAGCAGAAACATTAGTGAAATTTTATAAAGGCAAAAACCATTTCAGAACTCTCATGTATTTTTGGTTGGAGTGTAGAATGGCATAATTACATTGCAAGATAGTTTGACAGGTTTTTATAAGGCTAAACAAACACCTGATTGAATAATATATTTAAAATGAGATCACCTTAGTGTATTTAAACTATTTCTCTATAAAGTTATTTTTAAAAGTTCAAATTCAATTTTGCAAATAGATTTTGGTTTCTTTTTATTTTCTTTTTTTTTGTTTTTTTGTTTTTTTGTTTTTTGTTTTTTTCTTTTGAGACAGAGTCTCTCTCTGTCGCCCAGGCTGGAGTGCAGTGGCGCAACCTCGGCTCACTGCAAGCTCCGCCTCCCGGGTTCATGCCACTCTCCTGCCTCAGCTTGCAGAGTAGCTGGGACTATAGCCACCACACCCGGCTAATTTTTTGTATTTTTAGTAGAGACGGGGTTTCACCATTCACAGGATGGTCTCAATCTCCTGACCTTGTGATCCACCTGCCTCAGCTTCCAGAGTAGCTGGGATTATAGGCCCCCGCCACCATGCCCGGCTAATTTTTTGAATTTTTAGTAGAGACAGGGTTTCACCATTCACAGGATGGTCTCGATCTCCTGACCTTGCGATCCACCTGCCTCGGCCTCCCAAAGTGCTGGAATTACAGGCGTGAGCCACCGCGCCCGGCCAGATTTTGGTTTCTAACAACTATTTTCCAATAAATAGTTTAGGAGAGCTGGTTGATTTCAAGTTTGGAATATCTCATAGGACCAGAAAATAAGAAGAGTTCAAAAAGAAAGAAAGAGATAAAGGAGGAAGGGAGGAAGAAAGAAAAAAAAAGAAAGAGGAATAAAAAACAACCTGAAATATTTCATGGTAAAAGTTTGAATTTAAGCAAGAAAATAAATATCATTTCAAATATAACCCAAATAATTTAAGATTGACTCCATGTTGAAATAAATAAACAACTTAATAGACAAATAAGTGGGCTATATGTGGCAGCTCTTTCCTACAGAAGAATTCCAATTTATAAATATAAAAGGAACAGGGGAAATAAAAAATATTTATTAGACTATCACTGTAATAATTGTCATAGGCACTATAAAGTGGTAAATTCTAAAACAACATAACAAAAATGTAAGATATTTGCATAGCCCAAATATAATAGAAACCAGATATTTGCATAGTCCTAAATTCTCTCTTCAAAATATTTACTAATTCCAAAGGGAAAATTTGTGTTTATAGCTAAGAATTCTGGAGGAGACCATCCTAGCCAAAGAATCAAGAATAACATCGTTGGGATAAAGAGATTCCAACATCATATGCCTTCTTATGTGATACACTGAGAAAAGCATCTCACCTCTGTAATATCCTTCCCAATAATGAATAACTTCCATCTAAATGCAGTAAATCATAAAACAAGCACAAATTGAAGAGCATTCTACGTAATAACGGACCAGTACTCTTCAAAAATATCAAGGTCTTGAAAGACAGGGAAAAGCTAAGGAACTGCCAAAGATCACAAAAGACTAATGAGACATGACAACTAAATGCAGGAATCAGACAGAATTGGATCCCGGAACAGAACAGAGATATTAGAAGAACTGATAAAATCTGAATAAATTTTGTACTTCAGTTAATAGTATTGTTCCAAGGCTAATTTCCTAGTTTTGATAAATTTTCTATGGTTATGTTAAGAAGTTGACATAAGGACAAGCTGGGTAAGAACATAAGAAAATTCTCTATATTATTTTTGCAACTCTTCTGAAAGACTAAAATTACCTCCAAGTATTTATTGTTTAAAAGTTTAAAGTATTATCGATGATATTTTATGTTTCCAAAAATATGCAGAGAACTGGATCCCAAGCAGTGTTGGAATTTTTATCTTTGAGTCAAAAATTAATCAAATTAAAATTATAAACTGAATTATTGCTCTATGCTAAGCACAGACCCAATTTCCCATGGAAAGGAAGTAAAACACCCAAATTTAAAGAATATTCTATTAAAGTCCATTCATTCAAAAGTCATCAAACATTTACTATGAAAAAGTACTAGGTGAAAATATATATAGCAAAGCTAGTTTAAAATATTAGCAAGTACAATAGGACTTGCTGTGTCCCATGTATGTCATTAAAAAATGGTCATAAAAATATTTTTTCCTATAATGTTTTCCTGTTGCTTTAAGAAAACTGGTTTTTAAGTTTATATAAAATTATGTTATTAAAATCATTGTTTTACTCTGAACAAATGCTTGGCCATATACATAGTGAATTATTATTATTATTCTCACCAATTTATACTACTTGAAAGAATTTCCACTTGCTAGGAATTAATTTTTAGAAATACCTTGATATTTTATGTAGCTTTAGTTAGAAAACATCAAACTGACAAAAATAATAACAACTGCAGAAGAAAAAAAAGTAGGGCAAAGGTGAGTGCTATTAGCTCTTTTAAAATCAATAACCTTGAAGTGTCACAGAAACTCAACTGCTTCTTTTAAGTGCTTTTTTCTAAGTGTATTTCTTGTATGTAATAGATAATTGGATTTTATTTTTTAACCCAGACTTACAGTCTCTGTCTTTCAATAGAGGATTTCAGACCATTTGTATTTAGTATAACAACTAATCTATTTCCTTCAAGTAAAAGTATTTTATCCTTTTTTGTTATTTCTTCTTTTTAAATGTTTCTTACTTTTATGACTTCTTGAATGCTGAGTTCTTTGCCAGTGAAACATGAATACAACAACAACAACAACAAATAAAATGAAGAACCACGTTGTATCTATACATAGCTATTTTTTAAATTTTGAGCAATAAGAAGGCTTGAATTAAACAGCTTGGAATTTTACCTTTTGATTTGTTCAAAACAAAAGCATCCTCACTGCAGTGTCCCATTATGCTGTTTATCCTATTATCAAACAAAAGAAATAACACCCTAGGTTATGTACCCTGGGAATAAGTTGAATTTGTTCATGTCTTTGAGCAGAGTAAAACAGAAGCAGCTATGTCTCTGTATAATGCCATCTGTGTTAATATCTCTAAAGTTTCTTCAATAACTCTAAAGCAAATTACCAAGGAATATGGTAACTTTTCCATTTTTCTACATTGGACAATAATTTGAATCTACTGGTTTCTCTCAGTCCATCTGTTACTGGTCGAAGGTGGCCAGGTTCTTGGCATCTTGAACAAAGAATTGGACAACACTCACAAAAAAAAAAGCCAGGAGAGTGAAGCAACAAAAGCAGAGATTTAAGATTTTCTTTTTGAAAATGAAAGTACACTCCATAGTGTGGGAGTGGGCCCGAGCACAGGGGCTCAAGAGTCCTGGTTACAGAATTTTCTGGGGTTTCAATACTCTCTCGAGGTTTCTCATTGGTTACTTGCTGTATGCCCTATGTAAATGAAGAGAATGAAGTCAAGTTACAAAGTCATTTACTCAGTACGTGCCCTATGTAAATGGAGAGGATGTTGCTTGGTGCCTGTGGCCTACGTAAATGGAGAAGATGTAACATGGTGCATGTTGCCTTTGTAAATGGAGAGGATGAAGTGAAGTTGCAAAGCCATTCACATTTATGTCATTGCTGAAGTGTTTCCATTTGATCTCGTTCTAGTAAGTCAGCATGAATCAGACTCGTGCTGCCTGCCTCCAGACCCTATTCTCCTGCATCACATCCACTTCCTGAGTTTAGTGCATTATGTGCTGCTGATGCAGTCACAAAAGCCTGACTACTTTAAGGGCTCCTGTTTGAAATTTTAGAGATTGTCAACCTCTTCAAAATTGTCGTTTGTGTGTGTTAGTGTTAGCAGCCACATTTGACTAGGAAAAAAATCTCAGTACTCTGTAAAGACAGGTCTCTGTAATAACATCTGGTTTCTCTGGTTTGGTAAAAAAAGAAGCTTCATGCTTCATTATTTCTCGATTTCATGCTTTGGTACCAAAGACTGCCAACATTTCTGATCAAATTTATACACTGCTCAGAAAGGATCCAACTTTATCGAAAGCAGGGCTTCCACAAATCACTTTTTCAAGTTTGGTCTAGAAAAGAAATCATAATATGATGATCTTCCCTACCATACAAAAGTATATCATTAAACTATTATCAGAAATAGCATTGCAATGGGAGAAAAGGGGAACCCACTTTCAAAGCAATTTGAAACAGAGGGATTGATTTATGGCTTCATTTTCTTAGTAGATATTTAATAAGATCTTATATAATTCAAAAGTGAAATTATTGAATCAAATTTCTGAAATCATTTGAGACATTGAGAAATCATAAGATTATTGGCTATATTGCTCTAATGTATTAAATATTGGAGGCAAACAGTTATGTGAAATTCCCAAAGCTCAAAAAAAATTTTTTCTGATAGGTTGATGTGTAGGGTGACAAAGCAGTGTCCATTTCTCCCCAAGTGGAAATACATAGAACTTATAAATGCTGAAGAAATGTTACTTCTGTTCAAACAAAATTAAAATTGAAATATGGATTTACAATCATTTTCTTCTTGATCTAGAAAGTCCCAAGACTTTCTAAACATAATGTCATTGGCTTACAGCCAAAGAGAATTGTTTAACATAAATTCATGGCTGAGAATTAAAATCCAATGTTCGTTAGCACAAGTCTCTTCGTCTAGCAAAGTGGGCCATGTGAAATTTGGGGGACATTTTTTCCCTATGTATGTAAGGGTTTACAACCGTGCTTGTTATAATCAAAATGCCAGGTTAAAATTTATGTGATTTCAAAAATGCTAGATAAAAGATTGGTCAAGAATTTTGATTCTCTGTGTCACTTTCTCCCATGCCAGGTGTCTCAATCTTCCCTGATACCTCTAAGGAATGTGAGTTCTCTAATCTTACCTAGGAATTAGTTTCCAGTCAATCACAGGTATTGCAAATCTTGATTTATTTATACTGGAACGACAAAGTAGTCAGTGGAAGAAGAAACAGGCCTAGAGTAACCCAGAAGTTACTCAACTACACAAACTTGGATATACATACTTATACAATTTTTTAAAACTCTGCCTTCTCTTTTAATTTAGACAAGCCACATCAGGACACCTGTTTTTTAATCATTTCTCTTTTTATTTGCTACTCCCTTAGGGTCATATTTCTTTCCTACCATGCAACTCCCTCCATTTTGTCTCACCATGGTCTAAAAGTTCGTATCAAATTACACTCATAGGTCTATATCTTTGTTACCACATGATTAAAGAAATGAAGAATAATTTGCTGTCTTCTTCATTTAATGCCTGTGTGATCCTTAATAATGGTAACCATAAAGCTACTTGACTTTCTTCCCTGAAGCTCTTGATCTTCAGTGTAAACAGTGATTCTATTTATTTGTAATATATATTCAAATTAAAACGTTATTAACATTTTAAAAATAAATGAAAGTATGCTTTAAGTAATTTATTGTCATTTTATCTGATAGACAATTTGTATTAAATCAAACTGCCCATTTTTTTCACTTAAATATTTTATTCTGTTTTGTGCAAACTATAAGTCTAGTTTTTAAAATAATTCACATTGTATGAATATTATTATATTACATGAACATATTCATGCTGTCTTAGTCCAGTCAGGGCATAAAATTGGTCGCAACAGATGCCATACAATTGGTTGCTTATAGACAGCAGAAATTTATTTCTCACTGTTCTGGAGGGTGGGAAGTACAAAATCAAGGCAGATTTGGTACCTTGTGAGGGCCTGTTCTCTGGCTGATACAGGGCACCTTCCGGCTGTGTCCTCACAAGAGGCAAACTGGCTCTCTGGGATCTCTTTTATAAGGGCACTAATCCTAATCATGAGGGTTTTGTCCTTAGGACAAAATCAACTCCCAAAGGCCTTGCCACTTAATTTCATCACACTGAAGGCTAGGATTTCAATATATGAATTTTGGAGGGACACATTCAGACCATAGCACATGCCAGTATTCAATGTTGTTAAATTATGCTCCTGACCATTTTACTGACCCCAAATTCCATATTCTCTTCATGCTAAATAACAATATCTTTATTATTGTCATTTACTTTTGAGTAGAATTAAAGTTTAGGTTTTGGCTTGTTTTCACAGTTTGAATTTAATCTTATTCAAAGAATTCCCATTGTACTTTCCTTGAAAAGTGAGAGAAATCTAATTCTTTGTATTTCTTTTATACCCTACCTGTACAAGGGAAAATATATTTTAGTTTTATTTGTTAGGAGAATTGTTTAAGTCAAATCTTTTTATTTTACTATTTACCATGACAGATACGTCACTGTTTTTTAAAATTTACAATTTTAATTGGATGTATTTTCTTATTTCTCTTAGAAAAAGTTAACCTCCTACATTTATGTATACTTTTTAAAGTAATTTCACTTGCATTATTTCATTTGATATTGACAGTGAACCGGCAATAGAGTGGACCAGCCCTTCACTTGATCAACACTTCCTTCTGCATCCCCCAACTCTCCAACTTAAAATTGATGTCACAAAATCAAGGATACTAAAAAGTTTGTCTTATGGGTATGCAGCTTCTAAAAGAGGAGATAAAACTAATGTTTATCCTCTTGAGATAGAGTATGCCCTCCCTCATGCCCCTTTGTTATTCTGTGGGAAAAGAGAAGGAACAGGGTTCTTTTATTCATTAATTGACTCAGCATATCAAATACTTCCCCAGAGTGAATAAATTAATTACTCTTGATATCTATTAAAAATCTACCAATACTACAAATTAAGGAACTAGAAGGGCCATAAGATGTATTTTTAAAGTTTTAAAATTCTAATATATTTCATACATAAAATAAAGTCAAAATCCTAACTTTTCCTCTTCTCTGGAAGATAAAAACTATTTTGCATTTAAATTATCAAAATTAGGTCAAATCTTTATTTCCCCAGCCTACATATGTGATTTAGTTAGGACAATGTTTCAGCAAGAAACATCTCATCCTCTAGATACTTTATTTGATTGAAAATATTTGATTGATTCTTAAACTACACAAAACTATTGAAGACCAAGTCCAGAAGATCATTCTAAGAAGATTTTTTGAAATCTCTGCTATCAGGCTGCATTTACATTTTGATTCTTTGGTATTTAATAATATTTTGCATTAATATGTAGCTAATTCATGGAGGTTATTTTTGTTTGTTAGAGAATGGGAGGTTTGTTCTATTGACTGGCTGAGTTGTTTTGGAAGTGGAATGAACAGAAGACTTTTATCCTATCATTTTCACTTACTATAAGACAGGCTGCAGAGGTCAAGAAACTTTTTCTGTAAAGTCAGTAGTAGGCTTTGAGAATGGAAAGGGAAAATCAACAATATTATATAAGCACTTATACAATCATTTAAATGTAACCATGTATTTACACATGTTAACACCATTCTTAGCTTTCAGATACAAACAGTAAACTGAACTTGGCCCACAGTCACAGTTGGCTGGCCCCTGCCTTAGTCAACTGAGTAAATCTCTCTGACCCCAGTTTTCTAATATGTAAAATAGAATGATGAATAAGGACCCTCTGAAAGGAAGGTGGGAATTTGAAAGGAGCAGGAGATTAAATACTGCTTCGACAGATTAATAGCTAACCTATTCTCAATAAAGACTCCTAAATTCTCCCAAATTCTCCTTGTTACTAAATCCAGGGCTTGCTTCCACTTCTAGTCTGATCGCTAGGCAGGTTTGTTTTTTTGGTTTGTTTTTGTCATTGTTGTTTTGTTTTGTTTTTTTGTTTGTTTTTAGACAGGGGTCTTACTGTGTCATCCAGGCGAGAGTGCAGTTTCACATAGTTCACGTCAGCCTCAAACTTCACATGATCATCCTACTTCAGCCTCCCAAGTAGCTGAGACTACAGACACATGCCAACCTGCCTGGCTAACTTTTTTAGTTTATTTTTTGTTGACATGAGGTCTCACTGTGTTGCTCAGGCTGGTCTCAAACTTCTAGCCTCAAGCTCTAGGCAGCTTCTCAGTCCACTGATTAACCTTTTTATCCTTTAAGAGCATTCCTTTTGTGGAGTCTAAGTCATTTTCTTCTATATCCATAGAAACCCATTTACACACCCCACCATAGGCCCCTCTTCTGCTACCCAGCCATTACATAGTGGTGTTTCTCCATGTTACTTTCATCCCAGAGCCTCTCTACAGTCCCTCCTTCCTTAACAATCTTAACTACTTCTCACAGCAACAGTCATCATCTTTATGTCTACTGGTGACTTCTAAGTTTTGTTCCTCTGTCCCGGTGCTCCCAGGCACCGGACCACCAAGACGTCACAACAGGCTATCAAGTTTTGCTTAGGACTGAAATTGTTTCTATTTCTGCCTCCCAAATTACTTCCCACTACTTTCTCAAGTTGAAAACTTTTCTCCTTTATTCAATCACCCCTTAACCATTTGGCTTCTTTACTCCTGATATCTAGTTAATCGCTGTATTAGTCAGTTTTAATGCTGCTAATAAAGACATACCCAAGGTAATTTATAAAGGAAAGAGGTTTAATTGACTTACAGTTCCACATGGCTGGGGAGGCCTCACAATCACGGCTGACGGTGAATGAGGAGCAAAGTTACATCTTACACAGCGGCAGGCAAGAGAGTGTGTGCTGGGGAACTCCCATTTATAAAACCTTCGGATCTCGTGAGACTTAATCACTACCATGAGAACAGTATGAGGGAAACTACCCCCATGATTCAATTATCTCCACCTGGCCCCATCCTTGGCATGTGGGGGTTATTACAATTCAAGGTGAGATTTGGATGGAGACACAGCCAAACCATATCAATCACCAAATCTGGGGATTCTTCTTCCTGATTATTACTCCATCTCAAGGTTCTTGGATCAGGACATATCTTCATTGGAGCTGCAGCTTGAATTTTAATTAATACAGTTAGATTTACAGTCTTTTTTAAATTTCCTATAAAGTCAGCTCTGCAGTTGAAAGGCATTAGTGAAATTTTCTTCAGGCTTCTCATATATATTGTAGAAAGAGCATTTTTGCTTATTTTTCTATATTATTTGATATGTCAAGTTTCCTGAAACAGAATCTCTGTATTCATTTTCTTATCACTGAAAAGTATATTTTATTTATTGCACATAAATTATTGCTACCTTTTTCACCCTATAATACCCTTTTATTCTCTTTAACTATGTACTTATTTACTTATTCAAGGAGGCTCAATCTGAGTAGTCTCCATCAACTGACTTAGTCCTTAGGAAAATTCACAATTTTTGCCACTGCAACCTTTGGAAATTAAGCTTATCCAGCCTGTATGACACAGGCACAGGAACTCCAAACAAGTATCCATGCAAAGTTCTTCCAAAAATCTCTAGTCCTGCGCTGACAATAACAAGAAGCAGGTCTGAATTGGAGTTTTAGAAGAAAAGCATTTTCTGTTTGAACTCACTTTCACTTGAGGCTGAGTACAGAAAGAGGACCTCATCCCATTTCCCAGAGCACTTGCTACTCCTAAAAATTCTCTTCAAAGACATCTCTTCTGGTATGAACTTCTAGGCTTCTGTAATACAGGCTGAATATGGGCTAATGATGATTCAAGATCCAACTTATTAGCTTTTAGTAAATCTCATGGGGATGCCATGACCTTTGGAACTTTGTGTCTCCCTTTTATAGAGACGCAGTAAAGCATCTTCATATGCCACAGAAGACTTACATCATTTTAGTCAGGAGCATAGTGTTGTAATTGCAGTTTTGTTGAAGTTCGGGTATCTGTAGAAGAGTGTGTGTGCTCACTCAGTAGCCAGACATTTGACTGTAGATACTTGCTATTAACTCAGTTACCTCTCGCTTTAAACTCACCCATCTAGGCTGTGCTTTGTGAGGCTTGGGCTGGAACTTTGCAAACTGTATTTCTCTTTGGACTGCTGGCTTTCTGTCAGGCTCTGACAATGGAGGGTGCTGAAGGAAGACATGAAGCTAATAGCAGCTGTTGATTGCAGGCTTCAGCTTCTTTGCTATTCTCAGAACCAGCCTCACTGCATAATCTCTAACAGCACGATCAGCCAGCAGTACTCCTCCTCAAAGGTCTGAGGTCAAACTCCACTGGAATCTTCCTCTAAGACTAGGTTCTAAGAATTACAGTCTGTTTCCTGGGGGTGACACTTGCTTCCTGCTATTATTACCCTCATGTTCTCTTTTCACCCTTTCAGCTCTCCATACCTATGCTTCTATAGTTCCTTCTATAAAAGTTCTTTGTTGAAATGCCCAGTGTGTTTTCTATTTTCCTGTCACAACTTGGCTGATAGAAAGAAAAGGATAGACTTTAGTTTAATTAAGGTTTTAAACAGATTACTAATGGAAAATATCAAAACCATAGTAGATATTTTGGAAGTAAAGCAGGAAGCTCAGAGCAATAATCATCGTTTCAAAAATAAGCTACACTGTTGAGTGTCTGTGATGTCCAGCATTGTAATAAGAACTTTATATTTATTAAATCCTCACAAAACCCTTGCAAAGTACCATCACTATCTCCACTTCATAGGTGAAGAAACTGAGGATCAGAGAGTTAAGTGACTTGCACAAAATCACAAAGCAAGTATGCGGCAGAGTGAATATGAAAACCCTATATTATGTGATTCCAAATTATTCCACTCTGCCTCTCATTAGATGGACAGGCAGAAGGGCTATGAATGTGCTTAGTGAATAATACCACATAGCTAAATAGGATGGAATACTAAAGATAAATGTCAATTTAAAAGGTTTGCTTCAGAATAATAATAAAGGAGGAGGGAGGGGACTTTGGAAGGTGAGAGATATGTTTATGATCTTGATGGTGGTGATAGTTTTAAAGGTGTATACATTTCCTCAAACTCACTGAGATGTAGACATTAAATATGCACAGCTTTTTATATGTTAATTACACTTAAATAGTTTAAATAAATGATTTTGCTTCTATGACAGTATGTATATATAACACGTTTGGAAAAAGCAAAAAAATATACCAGTGGAGACTGTGAGAATAGAATTCTGAAAATGCAAGGAAAACACTTGAGATCAAAGGGACATATCCTATTTTGGACACCTATTTGAGTCAATTTGAACAAGTAATTTTGATTTTAATATTGGCTACCTCTAGCAAATTCACTTTAAGTCATATATTCATGTTACATTAGAAATAATTAATTTAATTTTTAGGGGATTTCTCCAACAATTTAGAGCTCCAGCTATTTGGTCGAAAGAGCTGAATTAATCAAGGGAGGAATGTAATTCCTAATCTGAGATCTAGGACTTGAAACTTGGATGCAGAATTTGGGCATCAGTTGTGGTGACAAGAGCAGGAGAGCCAAACAGGACAATGGTTATCAAGAATAATGGCTGTGGAAAAGCCATTGTAGGGCCATTGGAAGTGAAAAGAATCAGAGCATTTTCCAGAATTGTCACTGCATTGGATGGCAGCATGTTTGACATTTAAGGATTTGGTTATTCCAATGTCTACTGTGCTTCACAAGATGTGATATAATAGGAGTTATTTTAGAGTCTAGATAAAGCCTGTTATACTGTCACACATCCTGTACTCTGGCTGTATTTGACCTTGCCCCTAAGTATCTGATGCATCATGGGCTCACTTTAAGCACTCTCTAAATAGGATGCTATTACCAAATCCTCCATCTGAAAAACATTTACTCATTCTAAATGCCAATTCAAATTTTATCTGTTTGATGAAACAGTTTTAGGAACTATCAAATAAGTTAATGACTCACTTCTGTGATTCCCTAGCACGTTATCTAAGTCTCTCTTATTCTGCTTACTTCTGTGTGCATACTCAATTATTCCTATATCTTCTTCCAACATCTCAGCTGTGGACAGAAAATTTGTCTTTTTCACTTTCTAAAACCATTTAAAATGGTGGCTTAAAATAGGTGCAATATAAGGCAGGTGCAGTGGCTCACACCTGTAATACTAGCACTTCGGGAGACTGAGGCAGGAGGATCCTTTGAGCTCAGGAGTTCAAGACAAGCCTCAGCAACATAGAGAGACCCCTGTCTTTAAGAAAAAAAATAAAAATTAGGGGGTGTGGTGGCATGTGCCTATGGTCCCAGCTATTCAGAAGGCTGAGGTGGGAGGATTGCTTGAGCTGGTGTGGGGGGAGGCTGCAGTGAGCTGTGATCATGCCACTGCACTCCAGCCTGGGTGACAGAACCAGACCCTGTCTCCAAAATTAAATAAAATAAAAGCCCAAAATAAGATAGAACATTTCCTTCACCAATAGTTATTGAGCAAATTAATAAAATAAATTAACGTTAATTAAATACACAAATATAAGTTGATTATTTGGTTAGGAAGAACGAACCATTCTACTGTCAAGTAAACATAAGGTTAAATACAAAGGAGTATGAATAATCACCAAAACCAGAAACAATTACTCTAAATGTCATAATTTTATAATTTTAAAATATATCAAAGTAGTGCTATACATTAATGATTTCTGGTAAATTAAGCAACTTAGATATTCAGCCATGCTGTTTAATTACCTGTGTTCTTAAGTGTTACCAATTATCTTTCCTTTTTATATAGAAAAAAATATGGCTGTAAATCAGTAATGCATTACTCTGGACACGAAAAGTGAGTAATTAGTGAAGAAGATAAAAATGTTTCTTTTTGGATGAGCAAAGTGGCATTCTACAGCACCTAGAGTATGGACTGAGAAATAAAACTGAGTAAATCTACTAAGTTAGATTAAACGTCTCTTGAACTAGTGAATTCTATAAATTAATAACAAAAAAATGTAGGCTAATATATACTTGGAGATGGGAGTAGACAGTGTAGGAAACCAAACAATTCTCAACTAAATGTAATTTATATGTATGACTTTTGCAACAACTAAATACCCTTTCTTCCAAGTTTTTAACAATATTATAATTAAGTGATCAAAGAGGAATGCCAGTGTTCTTATTACTCCCAGTAACTAATGTATCAAAACCATGAAGTTTGTTCAGTGATTCTTCCTCAGTTAATTCTTCTTCAATTTTGAATAATTTGGCCCTATTCACATATTTTAGTTAGCATTATTTCCCCTTTTCTTAAAAGCTTAGATTATAAAGTTTATCAAACACGAAGAAAATAGGCTGAATAATTAACTTTTTTTGACATTTACAAATAAAAATAAGTTTTAAACTACCAACCCTTTCTTCCTCTTTATTCTCCTGTATCCTAAATCTTTTGGCTTCTAATTTAGCAGTAAGAAATTTGTGATATTAAAGGTTTTCCTTTCCTAATAATGATGTATGTGTGAAGAGGCAAATATTCTGACAACTAGATATTAAGTTGATGTTTAGCTAGAAACTATGAAGTTCTCAGATGCAAGTAAACTCTTACCTTGCAATCTTGACCAATGATGCATCCATACACGCAGCTTTTGTTGAGCATCTCAAAAGTGTAAGAGCCAGTTCCTGCCAGAAAGGAGCAGCATGATAGTGCAAAAAGAGACAGAGTGGTAAAAAGCACCAAATGTTGGCTGAAGAGAATGAAGTGGTAGAATTGTTTACCCTCTCCTGGGATGTTTGTTTTAGCATCTAAACATGGGAGTATTAGCATCACTTTTACAGGGTGTTTTGTGGGGGTTAAAGATGATAATATTTGTAAAACACTTCATTTGGCAGATATTATAACTTATCATATTAGCCATTTCCTCCTGGGCATTCTACATGTCCCAGCTTTCTGTGGAGTTAGGTGTGGCCCCATGCTTATATTCTGGCCAATGATGTTAAGCAGAAACACTGTGTATGATTTATGGAAAATGTCCTTTCAAGAGGTATACTTACATTTTCCTAACATGTTAAGTGATACACCGTTAACTGTTAATGTAAACATGTTAAGTATAGTTCAAGCAGCCTCTTGGATCATCAGGTTGCTCATGAGGGAGAGTAGAACAACAAAATGGAAGGAATCTAGTTCTCCATAGGCATGAGATTGCCAAACCATCCCAGTATACCCTAATTCTGAATCCCTTATATGTTCAAGAGTAAAAAAAAAACCTTTATTTTTATATTTGCATGCTTTTATATGCTCATTTCTTTGTCCCTAATGTTCAGCATAACCTAATCTGAATTGATGCAACTGACTACTCCTATTATTTCAGGGTGACATTAAAAGAACAGAAATTGAAGGCATGGAGAACAGATAAGAGACTCCTACTCTTGTTGGAAATATCTAACCTAAATGACTAAATCAATAAATAAATAACCTAAATATGCAAATTGTAACAGTGGCAGTGGAATTAGCAGGTATGTAGCAAATGAAAAAATATTGAGAAGTGAGACTAGACCCACATTTCCCTTTAAAGAGGTTAAAATGATGATATGGAGTAAAATATAACAGAGATTTTATCCAGTGTCAGGAAATATATGGTAATATTAATCAGAATAGGGAATTAACATTAACGAAGCTGTTGTGGAAGAAAATAATTAGTTTGATTTTAGACATTTTGAGTTTGGTGCACTGGCACACTATCTTGGGGAAATGTAAAGCAAATATTACAGTCTTATACTTCTGCCTGCTGCGAACATAGGTTCTAGTGGATTTATTATAATTATTCCTTAATTTATTCAAAAGATTTTCTTAAGCATCTACTTTATACCAGATACTGATTGGGGCCTTTGGTATTCAGCAGTGGATAATATAAAGTCCTTGTCTTCATTCTAATAAAGAACACATTTTATCCTCTTCTAGGACATGAAAAAGATAACTTCATTTTACAGATTTCTTCTGTGTTATGATAGCACAGTAATTGAATTGATACCTTAGCATTATCCAGTATCTTAGCCAAAACTTTACTTTTTAACGTAATTTCATTTTATTATATTATACAATAAAAGAGCTAGCTGCTTAACCTTGAAATTTTCGAAATGAAAGAGTAATAGAAATAAGGTATAGAACAGAAACTAAAGGAAAACAGTCTTACACATTCCACTGATTCTAAGCAATGATTTTCTGAGTAAAATCTAGAGCAGCACTTTGAAATTGTAGACATTAATAAAGCCCATTTCTTCTCCTTGCCAGCAATTTGGAGAGTATTCCTGTATTATTGCAAGCATAAATTCAGTTACAGAACCATGTAAACAGCTCTATTAATATGTATTACCTTCTTTCTTTGTTTCGTGAGGCTTCAGCAAAGGTCCTTATTTTGGTCATGGGAAAAATACTTAAAAGTATATAATTCTGAGATTACTGAAAAGTCAATGATTATTCTTCAGTAAGATGCACATGTTTATATGGATTTTATTAATCACCTCTAACAGTTTTTACATTCTTTAACTATTTTAGCTATACAGAATTCTTCAAACTGAGAATCACTAATATTCTTTTGCTGCAGTTGTACAACAGAAATATTAAACTATAGTTTAGGACTAGCTTCTGACTAGATAAATGGTTTTGAACCAAATCATAAACTTCAGATGACTGAGCAGCTCTGTTCTAAAATATTTATGTCTGGCATTAAACATTCCATAAAAATACCAACTTTGGTTTCCTGAACTCTTCTAACATTTTAAAGGTTTACATACCAGTTGCTTTGGGGAGCTTTCAGTAAACATTTTTTTGTAATGACCTAAGTTGCTCATTTCATGCACAAACCATAGGTCATCAGGTTCACTTATATTAATATAATACTATCTCACTACTAAGTTGCCTGCCTTGGGTTTGAACAATTAGGAGCAAGTTTAAGATGAATGGACTGTATTCACTGATTTAGATCAGCAAGAAATCTCATCATCTGTGGAAGGACATCATATAAGTTTGCATTACATTATATAATTGTAATTGCAATACCTATCATTTATAGGACAAACAGCTATAGTCACAGACATTACTAAGAACTTCATTCTTAAAAAAATCTAAAAATCTTATTCACTATATAATATTTTATATTACTTATGCAAATAAGGATGTGGAACCTATTTTTACTTAAATATGTTTTTCGGGATACATAATTTAGGTTATAATAATCCTTTATATCTACTTGATATGTCCATTCAGCAGTTAGAGGCTTTAAAGCAAGTGTATAAATTATGCATAAGCAATATCGACTTTTTAAAAAGCTTCAAAATATAGCATCACAAGTTAAAAATCATTAATTTATGTATGTGTTTGCTTAAGATTGATTTGCTTTATAATAATTTACTGAATTTGAGGGGGCATGATTATGATAAAATAGAGTCTGTGTTTTGTGAAGTCTGAATAATAGATCAGGCTTGAGTCATGATGGTAATTAACATACAAGACACTAAATGAAGGGCTGGTAACTTTGGTTCAAGTCTCAGCTTTGCCATTTACTAGCTAAATGACCTTGAGCAATCTTTCAATAATTAGGGGTACTGGTTTTCTTCTTTGAAAATATATTTCTGCCTATATCCAGGAAAAACATGGGATTCACATCTGATAATTTATATCAAAGCACCTTATATTTTACTCAGATGAAAAAAAATAAATGATTAATATTGGTGTTGTGTTGTCACTACTGTTTTGTGGATCGCTGGAGAGTGATTATATACCATATGTTCCAGGAAGGACAGTAAAGCTCGTTACTCATTGCTCTGTAAACTGAATCTCCTCATCCATGACATCTGATCCTACTTATCTTCTGTTCACACATTCCTGGCCTGTCTTTATAGTACTTGTCAGGAAGATGACAAGTAAGTCAACTTCCATGGCTCCTAACAGTGATTCTGCTCCAAAACTTCAGTTCTGAGGTTTGGGGTGGCATACCTGAAGCTGTGTTCTGGAATATATTCTCTAGAAGCCTATCAAGGAAATTAGAAACAGACTTAAAAACTGAGATGGGTTTACAACCCAGCTGTGATTCACCATATCCATTTGTCTTTTGCTATTCTCCTCTTATATTGCTGCTAGAAGTTCCCTTTTATTGCCATCATTTTTTGATATATATCTGTGCTTGTGTTAATCATGAAGGAAAAGTTAAGACGTCCATAAATTCTAAATACATTCCCTTCATTAGTTGTCTCACTACTTCTGCTTAAAAGAAAAATAACTTCAAGAGAATTGTCCAACATTGTTAAAGAACATTTAGTCAACATTATATTTATTAAGAATGTTATATGTACCTCATAAAGATGTACAAACATTAATATTTTGTACCAATAAAACATTTTTAATTGAAAAATGGCTTTGGCCAATTTTTTTTCATCTTTGTTGTTGAGAAAATATCAGAATTTCAGTTCTTATTCAAACTTTCAGATCTTAGATTTCTTCAAGGTATTCCTATCCGGGATTTTTCTGAAGGATGTGTTTATCAACTGATTATTTAAGAAGAAATTAATAACATCTATATAAAAATCAAATCATTTTTAATTTATTTTTATTGTTTTGTATTGTATATCACTTAACTGTCATTTTTTCTACCTTAATTTTTTTCTACTCAGCTCCTCCACTCTCTTCCTGAACCAAGAGCTCTCGTGTGTGTGTGTGTGTGTTTGTGTGTGTGTGTGTATTTGTGTGTGTTTAAACAGCAGACATATATTTCTCAGTTCTGGAGGCTGAGAAACCTAAGATCAAGGTGCTGGCAGATTTAGTTCCCGAGGGCTCTCTTTCTGGCACAGATGGCCACCTTCTCACTATGTCCTCACATGGCAGAGAAAGAAAGAGAGAGAGAGATACAGAGAGAGAGATTGAGAGAGAGAGAAAAAAACACACACACTCTGGTGTCTCTTTTCTAATAAGGGACACTAATCCCATCCCTGGGCCCCACCCTCATAATATCATCTAAACCTAATCACTTCCCAAAGGTTCCACCTCCAACCACCATCACATTGGGGATTAGGGCTTCAAAATATGAGTTTTGGGTGGACACAAATGTTCAGTTCAACAGCTCTTTTAATTCATTCCAGTGCCTACACCTTTATCATTTTCCTTAGGCCTTTAATGCAAGATGGCAGTAACCATTTTAAAAAAATTAATAAAAATGCACAATACATAAAACAGTTTTTCTTTATTAGCACTAAAATAATTTGGGAATGCTGAAGGATAATAAAAGACTGGTTTGTGAATTATTTAAGATATTTCTATTTAAACATATGAACGTATTCTTTTTTTTTTATTATACTTTAAGTTCTAGGGTACATGTGCACATTGTGCAGGTTAGTTACACATGTATACATGTGCCATGCTGGTGCGCTGCACCCACTAACTCGTCATCTAGCATTAGGTATATCTCCCAATGCTATCCCTCCCCCCTCCCCCCACCCCACAACAGTCCCCAGAGTGTGATATTCCCCTTCCTGTGTCCATGTGATCTCACTGGTTAATTCCCACCTATGAGTGAGAATATGCAGTGTTTGATTTTTTGTTCTTGCGATAGTTTACTGACAATGATGATTTCCAATTTCATCCATGTCCCTACAAAGGACATGAACTCATCATTTTTTATGGCTGCATAGTATTCCATGGTGTATATGTGCCACATTTTCTTAATCCAGTCTATCATTGTTGGACATTTGGGTTGGTTCCAAGTCTTTGCTATTGTGAATAATGCCGCAATAAACATAATTTTAAGCACATTTATGTTCCTTACGTATTTGTTTCAAGGAAAATCCAAAAATATTCATTCAATATTTTTATAACATAGCTTTGGAACATTTAATATTTTTATGGGGCTGTACTGCTTAGGGACTAAAAGGGATATAGCAAAACTGCAAATTATGACCCTTGCCATTTGAAATGTGCAATATAAATGGAGATAATACACAAGCAGACACATTCACTCACATAAGCTGCAGGAACTATGACTTTTTGTCACTACTTCCTAACTTGATGCCCAACAAATAGTAAATACTCAGTAATGATTTTGAATTGAGTAAATACATAAAAGTCACAAAAGAGTGGGGTTAACTGTGTGGGCTCTAAAAAGAAAGAAAAAGGAAAATGTTAACTATATCAATTAAAGCCACAAAATGCTACATGGAGAAGGTGAAACACTCAATTTTAAAGGCAGATAGTTTTTGTCTAGGTGCAAAAAGGCAAAATGCATTTCAAGCGAAAAGTGCTTCAGAATCCTGGGCGATGGCAAAGTGTTTCTATCCCGATTATATCAGTCAATGAAGTTTTACCCCACCCCAAATAATTATTTAAAGGTGAGGAGCCATTGGAATATTTTATGAAAAACAATTATATATTGTAAAGACCAAGAATAGTGACTGATTTAAAAGATTGTTGGCAATGCTTATCTTATCATGAGACTAACAGCCTTGTTGTTTTGGACTTTATTGTTTTCATGGAGAAGGAAGGAAAGAAGGAAGAGAGGAAGAAAAAGTTATTCTTAAAGTTTATGAAATCTTGTTTCTAGTGATTTTAGTCACAAGTGTGGTATCTGAATGGAAAAATAAATTATATTTAGAGATGTTTTAGAACTGTCAAAAAAAGATATAAGCTACATTGTGAAGCAGATGTTATAATTCTGTATTTTGTGATGGTGATGAAATCACTATTCTCCCTTCAAAATGGAACATTTCAAAAAATGTTTATTGGGGGAATTTCTGTGAGGCACTATCTTGTATAGAAATCAAAATAGTTAAGTCAAAGTTTCTGTGCCTACACTCCCTCTACTGACCAGCTGACCCACATGCTTTTTTTTTTTTAAAATAAATGTTGTGCTTATATCTAAGATACAGAATTGTTTCCTCAAGTTTTTCTAAAATGACCCATATGACATTTTGGTACAATACAAATGATATAACCCCATAGAAAGCCAGTCAGAGCCACAAAGGAGAGTCACGTTTTCTGTTACATACTCTTTTTTTGAAGTAGGAAGCGTGATTGGCATCATATGCTATGATCCATATGATACGTATTCCTCCAGAGACATGTTCAACAATAGCTAGAAAGTAAATATCTAAAGAAAACTATGTACAAATATCTTAGTTTGTCCTTTTCTCAATGTAAACATGAAAGTATTGCTGCTTAAAAAGAAGCATTTTTATGTTGTGTAAAGCTGGTACCATCTGAGAGTAAAATATAGTGCCCATAAAAACTCAGTAATTATCCTTATCTCAATTTCCTCCAGCAGTCCTGAAAAATAATATTGCTTGAGATAATCCATGTCACAATCACAGCAGGATATCTAGGTGCTCACTTTTCACTTTCTCTGTCATAGCAGAACATTAATAATATAAGATAAATAATTCTTAAATGTTGATAGGCCTCTAATGTAAGTCAGGTATAGATGAAGCTTACTCTATTCTCATTCACAACAAAAGCACTTTAAATCTCCCATGAGAAAAAATTGCAAATAATTTATGTAGATATTTCATCCTTAAGTAGAGGACATAACTCCCTACTCTAAGTGTGGACTGTGCATAGTGACTTTCACGCAGAAAGGACAGTATTGAGAAGGAAAAAGATGTAGTAACTTTATAGTAGAGAAACTGGCAAGTTATCTTTGCCAGGTAATTAACGTTTTTATCAACAGTACCCTTGACATGATGGAATCAGAGTGGCACTTTCCCTCTGTGGTCTTTCTGTAAAAAAACATACACTCTAACTATGAGAAAAAAAAATTAGTAAATTCCCAAGTGAGGGACAATCTGCAAAATACCTGACTAATACCCTTCAAAACTCTCAAGGTCATTAAAAACAAAGAACACCTGGCAAACTGTCACAATCAAGATGAGCCTAAGGAGATGTGACTAATGAATCTAATGTGCTAACCAGAATTGTATCCTGAAATAGAAAAAGGACATTTGTGAGAAACTGAGAAAATCTGAATATAGTATAGAGTTCAGTTAAAGATTTTGCATCAGTATTTGTTCATTACTTGTGAAAGATACACCATATTACTAAGATGTTAATAATAGGGTAAGCTGAGTGTGTGGTATATGAGAATTCTTGTACTCTCTTTGCAATAATTTTTGTATGTCTACCTAAGACTGTTGTAAAATTAAAAGTTTATTTTAAAATTAGGTATGGTTTATCTTAAGCCCATACTAATTATGACAAAAGACCTGGAGACAGGCATATGAGGGATGTGTTCTTTGAATATCCAAAGATTAGGTTACTTGGGAATATATTCTGCTTAAGGAATCATCAGTATATTCAAATGAGAATCGCAGGATAAGATTCACAATTTGGGAGTAATAATTAAATCAGAATTAAAGATTAGAGTATAGAATTTGAAATATTGAGAATAGAAAAGAATTCAGGATAAAGGAGATAATAAAGAAGTTCAATGAGCAAAGAAAAGAGAATGAATGACATAGTCTGGGAATTGCACTCATTGGGCCAGCAGAAGAAAGAAGAGAGACTCTGGAGAATTTCAGAAAAGAAGGGAAGAAAGGCATACTAGAATAATATACAGGCACAGAAGTAAAGACAGGAAGAATGCTAATCAGGATCACGAGCTGAGTAATCAAGGAGTTATGTTAAGGATCATGAAAAGCTGGTAACTCGAAAGTCATTGCTATGTTTAAAAGACTGGCAGAGAGGACACTTGATGCAAAGGGCTGAAAAGTGAAGAGAAAATAGGAAAGATTAGGCAGTAATTTAGTGAAGTGGTGTCTTAGTTAGGACCACTATAAAAACAACAACAACAAAAACAAAAACACTATATCCTGGGGTGGGGGAAGAGGGAATTTGGCAGGCTTAAACAACAAACATTTATTTCTTATGATTCTAGAAGCTGGGAAGTCTAAGTTCAAGGTGCCAGTTGACTCTGTGTAAGGTGAAGGCCCTCTTCCTGGTTTACAGATAGGCCCTTTCTTGCTGTATTCTCACATGAAGAAGAAGAGAGATCTATCTCATGTTTCTTTTTCTCTTTATAAAGGCATTAACTCCATCTTGAGGGTCCCACCTCCATAACCTAACCTAACCCTAATTACCCCCCAAAGGCCTCACTTCCAAATCCCATTATGTAGGGTATTAAATCTTCAAAATTTGAATTTTACCGGTACACATTCAGTCCGTAGGACATTGTGAGAGTTTTGTCAATAGTAACTTGAATTTTTCTATGCGCACTATACCACAGACCAGCTGCATCAATGTCACCTGGGAGCCTGATACAAATGTGGAAATTCAGACCCGTCTTATACATATGTAGTCAGGATCTGCATTTTAGCAAGATCCCCTCCTGATCCGAATGCACTTTAAAGTCTGAGAAACATTGGATTATATTATTATTTCAAGAATTTGGCAATATCAAGATGGGGGAAAATAATAGTTTAAGTAAGAAATGCATTTTAAGATTTTTTTTTACTGGAAGAAAGGGCACATGAGTATATATGTAGGTGAGAAGAAGCAGAAACAAGTGAGGAAGCAGAGATATAAAGAAATGAATACTGGTCATAAAATAAGGCTCATGATATTGCTCATCATAACTGTCCGTTTCCATCTTTATTCATCTTATCACGACCTGTGGCTTTACCATTTACAGTAACTGAAAGTGGGGATTCTGAGGGAAAGGGGGGATCCACCAAATCTTTTGACATAGGTCATCCAGGATCTGTCAATTCCCTGTAGCTTTGGTTTCCCTTCCACTCTCCTAAAAATGAGAACACTGAACAAGCATCTGTATAAGGAATTAAGGTTCAATAAAAAAGTTTTCTAACTTTGATGTCACTTAGTTAGCATTAACTAAAGAAGCATAAAAAAGACAGCTATTCTGTTTGAACTCTCCTTATAGAATGTACTTTAAGGACTGACTTTCCCAATTAATTGTAATCTTTTATGAGTCCCCCAAGAGATGCACAGAGCTGTCCTAACCTGCTAATTAGGAGGCCAGCAATGTACTGCTAGGCTTTTTGGAGTACATTCCCTGAGGAAGTGTTAGTACCAAGTGTTTCTCTTGGGATGATCTATAAATAATTTTTAATGAACAAGATATTATTCTTAATGATCTTCTGGAGACTTGACCAGCACTAAGATACTTTAAGAAAAAGCACATTTCCATCAATAGCCATTGATATGCCATTGGCTTGACTTAGAAAAAGGAGCAAGGATCTTTGCATCAACAATTGAGAAACCAAAGTTATCAGCTTAATTCTATGGCTGTGCCCTTTTATTTTCTTTAAGATACAATGTTCTCATCTGTAAAATGGGAAAATGAAACTAACATGAATTAGCAAATTGGAAACTCTGGAATTAGATGTGGCCCACATGGGTATTTGCTATTATTTGCATGTTTATGTCTAGCGTAGTACACAGGCCAGTTTAGTTGGCCATATAAGATTTGCTTTGTAAGCTCTATAGCACTGTTTAAATATAAGGCCTTATTATTAGCACTGTTGCTAATCTGCTCAAAATAAACTAATAAGAGTCAGCTCCAGGAAATTTATTCTAGAAGCAAACTCGTTGTGTGGAATCAGTAATATTGTCCCTATATTTTCAGCAGAGTTTAAAAAGAAACATTTGAGCCAAAGAAAGAGTCAGAAGCTCCCTCTGCAATATAACTTATATACACTGTGATTTTGAGTATTCAAAATTGAATATATAGATACATATACGTATATATGAATAAGGAAATAAGTTTAGATTGTGCTACCCCCCAAAAAATGTTCATCACCAGAATAGTGAAAAAGATAAAATGACCCAAATCTTTAGCATAAGAGAATCAGTTTGGTAAATTAAGTCTCTCCCACAAAATGAATTTTTATGTAGCCCTTGGAGTTATATTTATAAAGAAAACTTCATGACATAAGCAAAGAAAAAATAAGATTAAAAATTGTAATTTGTGCTATGTGATTTCAACTTGTTAAAATAATAATTCAGAAGAAGCTAATTCAGAAGAAGCTGGTACAAAATATGCCAAGCTTTTAAAACCTTTGTATCCTTACCTTTAAAGTGTTATAACAACATATTTCTCAGGGCTGCTGAGAGAACCAAATGAACCAGAAAGCCAATACAGCACAGAGGACGTATCCTCAGAGCCCTAACAGGAAACAGATGGCACACTCAAATTGGACAATCAGAGACAATTTGATAAAGGAACTATTTACCAAAGTGTGGCAAGGGTATAGAAAAACATAAAAGAAAGAGTAATGCAGGACTAATAAAAATTGGGGTATGATTATCTACCCTGGATATGAAGGGGCAGTTAGCTAATCCCAGAAGCAGAGAGCTCTGTGTGAAAAGGATTGGTTCACAGAAAGCTCTGATCTTCTGTCCAGAATGGAAGTCAGGCTATAGCAACCCAGCAGAAAGGAAGTCAGGGGTGTAAAGACTCCAGTAATACTCTCTCCCTTTTTTCCATATAAGTCTGCCTGTCAGAGTAGAAAGTAGGATGGAGAATGGTGGAAGGAGGCCTGGTGGGATCGATGAGTTATTCTACCCAGTTGATCTCCTTTGTCCTTTTGCTTCCACTCTTGTCCTTCCACCAGAAAACATGTATCCATAACACAGGGATCATACTAAGTTCTATCAGGTAATTTATCTGTAGATGAGATCCAAACTGAAAGTTAAGGTATATGAAAGCTCATAAATGGTTACATTGAAAAAAAAATGAACAAAAAAGGCAATTTCATATTTGAAATATGTGTCCATCCCTGGAATAAAGGAAGGGTTCCAATATAATCAACGTGCAAACAGTTGTTTGGGGAAGATAAAAAAGCTTGACAAACAAGCGATAATGAGATTTGAGGGAGGGAAAAATGTGAAATACCTTGACTCTCCCAACAGAGTTGGCATGGCACGGCTAAGTCACTTGCCTAAGGCCACAGGTCCTGTTACACAGCTCTATCCACTCGGCACTCCCAGTTTTCAGATTCCAATAACCATTCTTTTTTCTTATTTCTTCAGCCCCAGTAATGACATGAACCATCTCTTGTGAGTTCTCAAATGCCCTGTGCAGATGACATTAAATAGACTTTTAATCAAATTCTTCTCAAATTACCTAATTTGAGTTTAACATCTGATTATCTTTTACAGTGCTAACTGATAGAATAATTGAAACCATCACTGGCCTCAGGAAAGAGTGTCAAAATGCAATTCTGGGATTGAGTTGCTTATATGTTCACGGAGTGAAGGGATATTCTTTCTGGTAGAAGGAAATGAATAATGAATAATCCATGGCAGGTGGTAGTATGATAATAATTCAAATTACCACTAGTGGTGGCTTTATGTCTTGGTCTGCTTAGGCTGCCATAATAAAATACCATAAGCTGGGTGGTTTAAACAACAGGAATTAATTTTCTTACAGCTCTTGAGGCTTGGAAGTCCAAGACCAAGATGCCAGCATGGTCAGTTTCTGGTGAAGCTCTCTTCCTGGTTTGCAGATGGCCACCTTCTCACTGCGTGCTCACATGACCTTTCCTTGATGGTATGCACAGGAGAGAGAACTCTGGTTTCTCTTCCTCTTCTTACAACGACATTAGACCTATGGATTAAGGACTTTATGGCCTCATTTAACTTTACTCACTGCCTCACAGGATCTATCTGTAAACACAGTCACAGGCCCTATCCTCCAATACAGTTAGGACTTCAATATATGAAACGGGTGGTGGGGGAGCACATTCAATCCGTAACTTTTGGAATGAAGTGCAGAGTGAATGCAAGAAGTAATGAAATCAAATATCTGTGGCACTGAGTTGCTACTGCAACAAAAATAACTAAAATATTGATTACAAAGATGCCAATGATGATGTCATGATCTAACTTTTGAACTCCTGGAAAATGTATAAGAGGTAACAGAGAACTTGAGATGTCTGACTGTCCAACAGAGAATGAAAGTGGACAATTGGAAAGCTTCTTCAGGAGCTTTGAAAAGCCCTTTATTTCCTGTAGTTGGGAAGCTGACATGGCTGAGAACCAAGCCCAATGCCTGATTATAATGGTTAGAGTTGCAATGTCAATTAAATATTCAATTCAACCAGCTAAGGGCACTGGCAGGAAATAAATGAGATGCTAAGACATGAATCCCACATGATTCATCCCATGATGCTTCCCACATGAATACAAACATGTGGGAAGTCATAGATAAGACATAAAAGTCTGAAATTTTAAATCATCTTGAAATTTAATCATCTTGAAATTTAAATCATCTTTAAATCGTCTTGAAGCTCCCTTGTGAATGAACATAGATATACTACCCTCACTTTGTGATGAAGTCAGCATTTTCTGAAGTAAAAAAATCACTCAATGTTTGCATTTAAGACAGTTGACCCAAGGCCTCCAGAGCCATAATGGAAATCAGATTCCTAAATAGCCCAGACACAGAAGTACAAAGCTTAACCCCAGAGGAGATAACCTATGTGAGAAAAAAATGTGAGACTTCATGAATCTGTATAGGCAGGAGTATACAGTGTGTGTGTGGGGCATTGGATGCTAAAAGTGGTAGCTGCCCAAGCAAGAAAAAACAAAAAGCTTGCTAACAGTGGGATTACCCAAGGGTCAGGATTTAATGTGTTAAAAGTCTACAAGGTTAGCTAATTGAAGCCTTGACTCAATGGTGACCTATAGTTTATGAGATTGAAATGTCAGAACTTTGGTGCATACTATAATCTTTCAATTTAAAGTTTTGTCCACAAAGCAGTAGGAACACCTGAGAGCTTCTTGAAAAGGCAGAATCCTTGGCCCCAAACTCAATCTATTGTCACAATCGGCATTCAAACAACATCCCCGTTTGATTTGTATGAAACTTTAAATTCAAAAACACTGCAGGTAGATAAAATAATCCAAAATTTCTACCTGGGCAAACTGTTCAGCTAACCTGACGCTGTTAGGAGACCATTTTTCATCTTTCTCTTGTATTTCTGTAGAGAAATGTTTTGCGAGTAGAGGGACTTACTGCTCTTTTTTTTTCTGGACTATATTTTTACTTTTCCACAAATTTTTGTATAGTGAACACCCTCAGAAAATAGATGTAGTATTTCCTCTGGAGCAAAAGTCAGAGACACTCACTATCCAGTATAATAATGTTAATGTCTCCTATGGAGCAAAAGGCAGTCAGGTTTGCTGCCATAAATGATTTTGGTTCTCAAAGCTCAAAAATGATTTGGATTCCCTAAGCTCTTACACCTCAAACCACTGCGTAAGCAGATATCATCTATTCCTCTTCATATCACCAGGGGACTGGAACAAGAAAATGCTGATATGTTGACTACTGATATTGTTGAGAGAAATAAAGATTTTTGTGTCTGACACAGGCGTCTCTTGTTTTCTGCCAGCATCCACAGGTAGGCTAACTTATCTTGGAAGTACAATAAAATCTCAGATCCTTTACATTTCTTGGTAGTTATATTAAAAAGGATGTGAAGCTGACAAACACATGGCTATCTGGAAGAGAAAAATAAGGGACCTTCAAGACAATAAATGGGATTTGAGGCAAGCCCATGTGAACTGGTAATGAATATGTTGATCAAACCGTATGACCAACCAGGCCAAATATAATCTTCCAATTTATTCCTTGTTAAAGAGGAAGAATTGGAGAGACAGTTGTAGGTCAAGTACAAGTAAATGGGTTCAGTGAAAGACAGCTGCCAAATTGGAGTCCCAAATGTGTTAACTCTCCTGCAGGTGGCAGTACTCACCAATAGGGTAGGGGGCCTCAAGATTTGTAACTGCATGGCAGAAGTTCCTAACTCCAGTTAGCTACAGTTACAGAAAATCACACCTACACTTAGTATGCAAGGAGGCAAATCTGTGACTATTGGTTGAAACCAGGTGAATTATGAGAACTTTGATTGATTTTCTAGGGAGATGAGAGAGTGGAGAATGTAATGTCTTTGAATAAAGAAGGCAACAGCTAGGCCATTTTAGGGTTCAGTCACTCATGCAGTCTATCATGCTAATTTCAATCCATTTGAAGAAGACAGTAAAAGTTTTTGGAGACTTTTTCAATGGATATTGACTGTTCTAAGGAAGTTTTGGCTCTCAGATTTACAAGAGAAGAACCCTCATAGTAAACCATAGATTATGCATTGAATAGTATTTGAACTTTTATTGCCCCGGATTGGCTTAATTAGGGATGAAAATAAGTCACTAGAGAATGAGAAACCAACTCAAAGAAATCTAGAGAAATGTTTGCTGTCAGTCCCACTGCCCTGGAAAACTTCCCTTGCCCTTATGCTAAGAGCAGGCAATAATCTAAGAGATATTCTCACAACAATAGGGAAAAAAAATGCACCAGTATAAAGTAGGTTGCGTTAAAACAAAACAAAACAAAACAAAACAAAAAAAACACTGTGCAAGTGAAGTCCAAGTCAGCCAAAAGGTACAAGCCCTGGAGTCCTCCCTATGAAGCAGTGTGGCTCTGGCTGCTGAGTCAAAGGGTCCTCAAAGCTTAGTAAAATGTTTCCCAAAGTTACAATGACCTTGCTGCTTTATATACAGAGGTAAAAATAATAAAAATGTTTGCAATTTGTTTGGTTGAGACATAAGCAGCCACAGCACTCCTTAGAATTGAATGAAAATGGGCCTTGCTTCCTAACAAGAGCTCCCCTCTCCCTCTTTCCTGCTCTACCCCAAGAAAGATGATTAAAAGGGAGAGGCTGAAGTCTTCCTCTCCCAGGAGAAACCAGGGCTGTAAGTACTCATCACCATATGCTTGAAGACTTTGGTAAAGGGAAGAATTCAAACTTAACTTTCTGTCACAATATAGTTTGGAAGTGCTCAGATTTTCATGATCTTTATCATAGTCTTGACATTTTGGCTTTGGATTCATTCCGATCTTTAACAATTTGTTTGATCTTGCATAAGATGTTAAACTTTTCTTATATATTGAAAACATTAGCAGTACTTATTTTATTATAATCTTGTGAATATTAAATGTGGTAATATGCATGAAGATTGTATTATCATCTGGCAAACAATATAGGCTGTTCTTGATAACTATTAGCTACTATTATCATTTATATGAAATGTACGGTGGGTATAACATCACAACAATTTTGCCATTGATAAGTTATGGTAGAACATGTCTCGTACCATTTCTATAGTAAAAATGCAATTTTTAATATAAATTATTAATATATTGAAAATTGGAAGAAATATTGAGCTCTAAAAATTTAGTCAAGACATTTTGTCTTCTTAAGTCTACTATTAAAAATAAACTTAAAATAGGTGGCCATTAAAATTATGTATATTGATAAAGAAGGATGATTATGAAGTACTGTTTAGGAGGAAAAATGCACGTTGCACATTTGCAATCATAATATGATTATATTTATATAAATATATAGGTATACAGAGAAGGAGTGAGAGATTGTACATATCTGCATCTATATGTAGAAAATAGTCTAGACCCTTTTCAAAACATGCAGCCAACAATCATATGAAAAAAGGCTCAACAACACTGATTATTAGAGAAATGCGAATCAAAACCACAATGAGATATCTCACAGCAGTCAGAATGGTTATTATTAAAAAGGCAAAAAAATAACAGATGCTGGTGAGGTTGTGGAGAAAAGGAACACTTACACGCTGTTGGTGGGAGTGTAAATTAGTTCAACCATTACGGAAGACAGTGTGGCAATTCCTCAAAGATATAAAGACAGAATCACCATTTGATTCAGCAATCCCATTACTAGGCATGAAGCCAAATGAGTATAAATTGTTCTGTTATAAAGATATATGCATGCTCATATTCATTGCAGCACTATTCACAATAGCAAAGACATGGAATCAACTCAAATGCCCATCAGTGGTAGATTGGATAAAGAAAATGTATGACATATACACCATGGAATGCTATGAAACCTTTAAAAGAAATGAGATTATGTCCTTTGCAGGGACATGGATGGAGCTAGAAGCCATTATCCTCAGCAAACTAACACAGGAACAGAAAACCAAATACCACATGTTCTCGCTTATAAGTAGGATTCAAATGGTCAGAACACATGGACACATAGAGGGGAACAACACACACTAGGGCCTATCAGAGGGTGGGGGGTGAGAGGAGGGAGAGAATCAAGAAAAATTACTAATGGAGACTAGACTTATAACCTGGGTTACCAAGTAATCTGTCCAAAAAAAAAAAAAAAAAACCATGACACAAGTTTACCTATGTAACAAAAATAAAAGTTTTTTTAAAAAGAAAATCATCTAGAAAAATGCACTGTAAATTTTAATTATGTCTATCTCTGGGAATTAAATTAAGAAATATTTGTACTTTGATATATTTCTGTACTCTTTAAATACATTGAAAGAATTATGGTTTATATGCATAAAAACATATGATTTCTTTTGTTGTAGAATAGGTACATTTTTATTTAGCACAAAACTCTGGAAATCAAAGTGAGCTGATAACTGAGCTGATACGTGCACAGTGTATTATACTTTGATATTTCTATTGTTTAAAAAATAGTTTTTATATATAACCTACCAAAATTTTTGTAAATACAAAAAGACCTAGAAGTATTATATTCCAAGACCTTTATTTTAATTATCCTCAAAACACATCCTATCTGTTTAGTTGGTTCTTGTCAACAATTTTTCAGAGTTCTAGGTAAATAGAATAATAATATTGACTAACAGAAAGATCTTTATCCATGGAATGTTCTTTACAGGATGGCTCTGGCTTAGGATCCCTTATAGTCAATAAAACTAGAATCTATAGATTTATAAAGCTTAGCTTCATAAATAAAGCTTTGCTCCATGGACAATGTTACATAAGCTGTGGCATAAAATGGAGATAACTAAAATTCTCCTGCTGTGTGAGGGAATAATCTCTCGAAGACATGTCAACTCTTGGCCAGGAAGAGCATGTCCACTGCAGGAGGAAGAACTTAGGGAACTGCCTTCAATGTCGTGGACAACTGCCAATTTTCCTTCAACAAACCAATTGCCTTTAATAACAGGGAAGAATTTTGATTCATGTGAGTCAGATTTAAGGATACAATATTTTGTATTAGCTCAAAAACAGAGTAAACAAAAGAAGAAAACAACAAAATTACATGCTTATTAATATATTTCTCCAAATAATAGTGATTTTAAAATACAAAGGTTAATGAATATGTAGAACTTACCATGTACCAGGTGCTTTCCCTATGTTATTTTGCTCTACTATCTACCATGCGAGGTATATAGAAATATTCTCATTTTCAAATAAAATTAGTAAGACACAAAGAGATTTTTTTATGTGCAAACTTACCCAGCTACTAAGTGAGGGATCTGGCATTTCAACCTAGATCCGTCTCCTTACCACCTACTACTACATATGAGGAATTTAAGTCTTTGACATTCTTTCCATGGGTTGAATTCAAGAACCAGTTCACTGCTTTAGAACCTGATGTGAAATTCCAAGTGTATTAGAAAGCATTACTTTCTATATTTGCAGCCCTGAATCTATCTCCCTCTAAGCCTTATATATCCAACAAATAACTTAATTGCCTTTGGTTAGATGTCCAGAGCTAGGGTCTGAGACTCAGATGAAATGATTCTCCATCTAATACAAGTTTCTTTGAATGGCACTCAGGACCCATTCTTGAAAAGTCACTTCTAATTACACTTTGACATTTGTTTTGCTTTACAACAAAGAAATAAATAAATAAAACCCATGACTTTTAATAAAATGGATATGGGTTTTGCCCTGGGAGTAAGTCAAAATTGAAAGAAGTCATCTATAAAGCTTTTGAAAGAGTTTGAATGGAATTACTTTGTCTTTTTTCATCTAAAATGAAAGTGATACTTCTGTGCTCCATAGGCAGAAATATGTATTCTTTTTTGACATATGATCCAGGGATTTTTAATGCTTCTCTAGAAAAATGAATTCTAGAGAGGCTAAGATGATGAATAATTACAAGTAACAGAGTTCTCTTCTTTTGATGTTATTCCCAGTTACTTCTCATTTTGAATAAATAAATATTCCTGTGAAAGTAGGGCAGTTGAGGAGTAGGTGCAGGTAGAAATGTGTCATGTTATACAACCCTAGGATTCATCAGCAGGTGGGCATCATGACATGAAACCAAAACTCACAGGTGAATAGATGGCATCCATCCAAAAGCAAGGTCATTTGGGCCACACATTTATAATTACACTCACCATATATACTTCACATAAGAAAAAAGATAATTCTTTTGTTGCTCCATGATTTTCACTATTTTTCTAGCATTCACAGAGTACCTTGGTGAAAGAAAAAAAGGTCAAAATATCACAAATGACAGAAAATTAAAGCAGAGGTGATAAAAATATATAAACTCTGGATAAAGTAGTCTAGACCCTTTAACAAGAACTGTTTCTATGACAAAAGTAATTGTTTTTGCTGAAGCTGTTGTTTTCACATGAATTAATAGTGTTAATAGTGCCAGTCATTTCATTCAGAACAATCTAATTTGTTTATTGATATGGTTCTTTTAGTGAAAAGTAGTAAGAGAAGAAGTTCCTGGTTTCATAGCTTCCTACCCCAAAGGTATGATGGAATGCATTCACATGCTGTAAATTATTTTAGAAAGATCAAAGTAATTGACTTAATTAGCTATGATAGCATGTACGACTTGCTTTTATAAATTGAGGAAGAAAGTGTCTCTGCACTTCAGAAGCTGAGCAGAGCACTAATGGGGCAGATACACAAGTGTTTTCCCTGTAGTAATCTACCTTCTATAGTCTTTTTCATTGTATAGATCCTTAAAGTGTGGTATTTTTCTCCAAATTGTTTTTATCACAATCCATTCTAAATTTGTGCCAAGTTGAAAAATGATGAAGAAATACACATTGCCCATACTGTCAAATTAATATAAGTAAAGTTATATAGATGTGAAGTTATATACGTGTATACATGCACATCTATGAAGAAAGAGATAGAGAAAGAGAGAGAGAATGACTGAATCTTGTTCAGTGCTTTTCTTGGTAAATCAAAGAAAATTCAGGGGCACCTAAATGGTGCTTTCTCTGAGGCAATGTTGTCAATCTCTCAACGTGCCTTTTTCTGTATTCCCTGATTTTCCTGCTGCCTCAGTTCCTATTTGGAAATAAAATTAGCCTCTGCTGAACGTAAATATCAGCAACCAGATAATCAGGCTTTCCCACTGCTTTTCTGGGGACCCATCTTAGACCAGAAATGCAAGAAAAAAATTGATACACATGCTGAAATAAAGTTTCTATCTGAGTTGTCTGGTTTGAAGAGAGCAAGTGAAGAGACCACAGGGATTGAGGATAATGGGAGAAAATTATGGAATAGGTATTTTATTATAGAAAGTCTGAATAATGCTATTTATTTTTTTATGAAAATAAAACAATCTAGAAGCCTTCACGTTTCTAATATACTAGTCAAATTAGACTCTCCTCTCTCTTTCAACATCACTCCATTCTCCCTAAGTATTTTTGGTTGAAAATCAGGGAGTCTAAGACTAATTTATCTTTCTCCCATAGTCTATTTCTTCTTCAGTTATCACAGCCCAGTGAAGGATATAACCATTGACTCAGACAACCAAAGGATCTAGAAATTTCTAATTACCCTTTGATTCTTCTTTCTTCCTCACATGTAACATTCAGTCACCAGCTAAGTCCTATGTCTAGTTCCTCCATGGCTCTTCATATTTCTCCTTTCAACCCCCACTGCATTATCTGTCTTTCAGCCCTTACTACTTCTCACCTGCACTAAAACAATAGTGCCTGAACATGTATCTCTGTATCTCTGCAATCTCCCCTTCCTTTCGTTGCAAGAATAATTTTTCTAAAATCATATTCTGTCACTTTCTGTAAAATGATGTAGAAGTATTAGAACACTCTCTCCCTGAAGTACAGATTGTCTTATATGGTATGAATTATCTTCTGGGCTCTGGCTATCCTTACAGGCTCCATTGCTTGAGGGAAAATATCACTGTAAATTGGCTTATCTTTGTAGCAAACATATACTGTAAAGAAAAGTTGATTCTATATATGTGAATCTTAGCCTCTTTCATAGGTCGTATGAAACAGATTTTGAGACTGTTTAAGATTTTCATACAGGAGGTACTAGGGATGGAGAAACAACATGTATGAAGGATGAACTTAGCAGGAGGAGAGGTTGAATTATAATGTTATTGCAATAGAGCCTTGGCCAATCCTACAGAGAGTTTTGTCCTTCAAAAATTCCATAATAAAGGTGAGAGATCAAGTTTAGATCCCCCTACATGGGCCAGTCATTGGAATATTGGCTACCCTGGGGAGAGTCATGGCTTGGGTAAAGCAGTTTTCTTCCAACAAAGGCAATTCATGGAAAATAATTCAGCTTTAAGTCATCAGCTGTCGATACTCCCAACAGCTAAAAAATGAGTCCCTAGGTCCCAAAGAGGCACCTGGGTGGATCTTCCCAGTGATTACAATTTTTACCAGAATGTCTTTATTTCAGCAGTCATTGTCATTTAAACTTATTCCTCACAGGACATTAATGAGAGCCAAATTCTAAATTTAAAAAATAAGGATACATGATAAAGATGATTATCCTAAAGCTTTATATAGCTTGACAATGATTTCCAAAATAAACATTAAGAAAATAAAAGTGTAAATTGAAGAAACAATATATTCATGTTCAGCTGTGTTGACCTCTGGATGTAGCTTGTTAAATAGGTAAATTATTTCCTAATTTCCTCTTTTGGTAGGATTTCTATAAATGTAGAATAAAAACTTAGACTTTCAAAAGGTACTTGAGAAATTGGAACATCTTCATTCTTTGGTCAATCTCATTACTATCACATAACCCTGTTATTGTGCTCCACAAGATATTTTCTGACTTAGTTAATGTTACTTTTAAGTTACAAAAATTAGCCTGGGCAATACACTGAGACCTCTTCTCTAGAAAAAATAAACAAAAATCAGCTGTGTGTCGTGGCATGCACCTGTGATACTAGCTACTTGGGAAACTGAAGTGGGAGGATCACTTGAACCCAGGGCGTTGAGGCTGCAGTAAGCTCTAACTGTGCCACCATACTCCAGCCTGGGCAACAGGGCAAGACTCAGTCCAATAATAATAATAATAATTAAAATAAATAAATTACAGAAATTGATCAACATTTTAAAGGTAATTTTTATTTTCTGTGCTGAAGTATTGGCTGAAAATTTACAAATAAATATGACATATTGATAGTTATTAACTATTAAAATAATTAATACTATATTATTATTATACCCATTGAAGTAAATGCAATTAGAATTTAGGTAGATTTATTTACCATTCATATAACTTAAGCCAGGCAGACTTACAAAGAATGCAGAGAATTGTCCCTAGATGATTGTGCAAAAGACAGCGTGAATGAGGGAAGCCCTCTCACACTCACACCATGCTCTTACTAAGAGGAAATGCATAGTTAGTCCCCAGTACTGCAAGTGACATAGGAAGTAAAGACTCTGCTTAGAGTCTCTATATAAAGACAGTTACTAATGAAAATGAGTGCTATAAAACTGCAGCAAAGGAATTTCAGAAAGCAGAATTTGTGCAGATTTTCTAAAGCTCTGTCATCAGAGCTGACATGATATTCCTTAATTTTTTAAAATAAGGGCAAAAAAAAAACCTTAAAAAATTTTCAACCTATTCTAACACTCACAGTCAAACATACATTTTTACCACAATATTTAACTTATATTTGTCCATCCCTCATTAGCCTATATTTCCATCCTTTTATTCTCTGCTGACTTCTTCCTCACAGTGTATAAATACCGTAAAATCCTTCCCAGATAAAGAAGCCTTCCTTATTCTTTTGTCTCTACGTGCCCTTCTTAACCAAGACCTTCAAAAGAGTAGTCCACAATTGATAGACTCGCTTGTTCTCTTCCTATTCACTGATTACATTATTAAAATCAGGATCTCATTCCACGTACTTAGTATAGCCATTCAGACAAAAGTCACCAGTGACAACCTAACTTGTAAATCCAATGAGCTTTTCTACACGTTCATCTTATTTTACTTCTCTAGGGAACTCAACACTGTGAATGTACATATAAACACACTTATTCACATCCATGCACACATAAAATATGTGTTTTTGAAAGAATATATAACAATGAAACTTTCAAATTAAATGTAATGTTTGAGTAATGAGCATGTTTTACTTTTGTAATTTAAAAAAATTTTAAAGCACCCCAAACAGATTTTAAACCCTGGGGAAAATGTTATAACCTCATGTTCTGCTGAGAAGACTGAGCTGTTTTATTACTGTATTTAGTTTGAGCTTGACCTCCACATCTTTCACAATTAGATCAAACTTTCAAAGAAAGCTGCACCACAGTCAGTGATGAAAAAAGAGAAAGGCACTCGATTTGATGTTATATACCCAGAAGTTCTTATTCACTCTATGGATCACTGACCAAAGGCCACAAAATTTCCAATTTGAAACCATGAATGAGAAAAAAAGTTAGCCGCTGACTGGAGCACCTTCGTCCTGATTCACAGCAGCCCCTGCCTCTCGGGTTTGATGTGCCTCAGCAATGTTATTTTGGGTTAGTTACTAGGCAACTACATCTGTGAGTCATGGGAGAGCACTCGGCAGCACCATCATCTGTGTCATCTTTCAATAGATTTCACACAATAGCTAAATACCAGTCACCTTTTCCTCACGAAGGCCCATGTCAGAAATCAGGACGGGAACCTGGTCTGCGTAGGATGGTTTTATACTGTAGGACTCATAATCAGCTTCCATGTAATTTCAGAAATAAACACCATTACAATTTTTTAAATAAATGGTTTACTAAAAGGGAGTCAACAAAAAGGAGTATAAAGTAAAAATAAGTATCATTCCCTTAGGTGGGATGGTCAATAAATAAGACACCTCTGGAAGATTTATTATCTCTCTCAAGTCTCCTCCAGGTTACAGCTCGAGAAATCCATTACTGTTTTCAGTGTACTAAAATAGACAGCTAGATTCTTCTCTTCTCAGTGTTCAGGACAACATACCCTATAATCTGGTGGAGACAAAAGCCTTCTCTCTATTACTTTTAAGCAGACTCAATTATTCTTTTGGCTAAAAATTTTGTTCCATCCCAAAATATAAAAGTTACTAGAGACTAGGGTGTGCACCTGGGATTAAGCAGGTGGATAATGAAGGAAATAAATACAGGTTCTTCACAAGCAAATATTCAACTACACACTGAACTCTTCCGATCAATGTCCCTCATATACCTGAATATCAACATTTCAAAGTTTACCTAACTCTGCTCCTCTTTCCAGAACACTTTTTTGTTCACTGAGGGTATCTGCCACCATCTAACCACTCAGGCTGAAAATAGTCCTGATCTCCTCCCTCTCCCTTCATCAGGGCCAGCTTCATGGGCATGTAACTTATGCACTCACACAAGACTCCATTCACTGAAGGACCTCATACTTCATTAAATACTTAATAATAAACAATGTGTACTGTGTTTTCATTTTGCAATAGACCCCAAAATTATGTAGCCTGCTCTGCCTTACATTTTTCATGTCAAATTAGCCACTAATTCTGTCCATTCTACCTACTAAACTAACCTAAAAACCTATCGATACTGTATCTCACTTTCATGGTTTAGGCCTTCAGCCTCCTACTAATGAAACCTGATTTTGGAAAGGATTTTAAGGAATGTGTCTCATTGGCAGTAAACAGGGTCATGAGCAGGAGTTAGTAGAGAAGAGTGGTGAAAGAATATTCCAGGCAGCAGCAACAGCAGTGGACCATTCTGAAGTGGGAAAGAGGATGGTAGGTGGATAGAGCAAGGTGTGGAAATCCTGGATGCCCTCCCTTTATTCTTGCTCCGCTTCTCTGAGTCTGCCCCTACATGTTATCCAAGCCGAGGACTTCTGGTTATTATTTCTCACACCTGGTCCAGTGCACATTTGGATCTAACATGAGATTTTATTACTGTTGTTTTTAATCTGTTGCACTGTCTCTTAGAAACAGTTCATCATGTATCCTCAGGATCTCTCTGTCTAAACACTTTACTGTTAGGCCTACCTTATCCTCTATAGTAGAGGCAGGAGGTTGGACAGTCTCATTTCTTAGCACTTTTATACACATTCTCTGTAATATGATCCAACCACAACAACCTATGTGTCTCTGTACCTTTGACCAGAGTGCTCTCTCGGCCTGTAACTCCTTACCTACTCAATTACCCAGAAGTAAAGCCAGCACATTTCCAGCAATCTTTTCAGATAAATTTTATCACCATTTCTTGGAAAGGCTGAAGCTGCGGATAGTATCATCCTCTTCTTCCTCATCTTCATGTAGCTGCTTTGCTTGTTTCTACTGTAGAACCAGTCACATGTGTTGGATGTTTAAGGGAAGGAAAGAAAAGAGAGAAGGGGCTGGGCGTGGTGGCTCATGCCTGTAATTCCATCACTTTGGGAGGCCAAGGCGGGCAGATCATGAGATCAAGAGATAGAGACCATCCTGGCCAACATGGTGAAATCCCGTCTGTACTAAAAATACAGAAATTAGCCGGACGTGGTGGCGCACGCCTGTAGTCCCAGCTACTTGGAGGGGTTGAGGCAGGAGAATCACTTGAACCTGGGAAGTGGAGGTTTCAGTGAGCCGAGATTGTGCCACTGCACTCCAGCCTGGCGACAGAGCAAGACTATGCCTCAAAAATAAATAAATAAATAAATAAATAAATAAATAAATAAATAAATAAATAAATAAATAAAATAAGAGAAGGATGAAACAAGAGTTCTGGACTCATTAGGAAAAAGTCTATAAATTAGCAAGTGAGGGCTTTGAAACAAAAACACGAAAGTCACCGAAGACGGCTCACCTACTTCTTAATTTTCTCTACATTTTTTCCCCTCTGGAAATCACTAGGGTTTCCCTAAATGGGTTCGTGCCAGTTTGAACTGTGCCAGCTTTCTCAAGACAGCAGCCTGAATGCTTTCCTTTCAGCCCTATGAGAGGTAATAAACCAGAAGTCAGTGAGCTCAGCTACCCTAGCCTCCTGTATTCCTATATGCTCTCTGCATGCATAAAGGAAGTCTCAGTATTATCCCTTCCTTTCCCACTGGAAGCAGTGCATTTGGCATTTATGCTGGTTCACTGATTCTAAAGGGTCAGGATGAGGAAGCCACGACTTCCTCCAATTACCCAGAACAGCTGAACTCAGCAGACACTGGAAGACTCCCTCCACAAACTCTTTTCCAAGCAGCTGCTGTAATCTAGCCATCTATTTATGTACAAAAGACTAAGTTATTTTCAGAAAAACAAAAACAATACAGGTTACACATGAAAGATCTCTCTATTCCTTACCCCTTCCAAGTAAACTAATTCCAACTAGATAAGCTGCTCTGGAATTAGGAATTCAGATGTACGATCAAATAACATCAAAATAACGTGTTATAAATTTACTCACTAAGCCAATACATGAATACTTTTATTTCTAATCATATTGAAATGCAAAAGAAAAATAATTTCACATTATTTTTGCATTTATTTCATAATTTAATATATATGAGAATGTTCATAAAATTCCAAAAAATAATATTGGGAAGAAAAGACAGGGTAATTACTTCTCCCTATTTAATTTTTACTCTGAATTTATAAATATAAAATATTAATACATCTGGCATGTTAACATTCAATGTCAGTAACAACATTACCAGACTTCTGTTATGTTGGTGTTCTTTTAATTTCTAATTCACTTTCAAATTATTTTTATTTTATTATCTCTACTCAGTTTAAATTTTTGATTTTCATTTCCTGTTTTCAATTTGTTTCTTCTGCCAGACTTTATTATTATAAAATTTATAAACCATGGCATTCTGTGGCTGATAAGTAAGTACAGCCAGCAGCCAGTTTTATTTTTCAGAAATGAAGAAATACACTTATTACAAAAAAAAGACCTTAATCATACTTTCCTTTATTTTTATGGTCATACCACTTTTGACAATGCAAAGGGTGTTAAAATGCAACTGCAGTATGATATACCATTAATGATTTAATATTATAAATGTATTCCAAAGAAACAGAAATACCTTCATCAAGCGCAACTGCTTTTGAAATTTCCTTGACATTTAACATGTGCTAGTGTTAGGAGATCTTTGGGGTGTCACCTTTCAGGCCGCAAACCTGTGGCCGGTGGCGCCTTTCCTCGAGTTTTGCTCCAAACCACTGGGCTCATTCTGCCCACTGGGCCTAGAGGCTGTGCTCAACTCACCTTACCTGCCTGGATCCCACGCCTCCAAGGGAGATTGCAAGTCAGGCTTTGAGCGGCAAAGGGTTGTGAGCCAGCATGGGGTCAGGTCACTGCAGTCAGACAAGCCGGCTGCTGCTATGGGGCAGGCAGCTCCAGGTGCTAGCATGGGCACTGGCTCTCTGAAAGGCTGCAGCTGGACCAGGCCCACCACAAGCAGCTTCCCTGGCTGGCAACGGGGAATGCAGTGACACCTGGTAACTTGGAGATGTCAGGAACTGCAGGGTCCCAAAGAGGGAGTCACATCCCTGGCTGGGGGAGCTCCCAGGTCTAGGCTTCCTGAAGGGCCACAGTTCTTTTCTCCTTCTCTTCACCTGCAATGTGATGAGCAAGGGGCATGTTTCAGCCCTGTTTGTGTTTCAGCTGTCTTAGCCTGGCGGCAGGGCCCACGTTCTTGTCCTGCGACCAGGAAGAATGAGGTACACAGACAAGTGGAAGGTGAGCAAGATGAAGCGGAGCTTTATTGAGTGATAGAAGAGCTCAGAGGAAACCTGCAGGGGGTAGCTCCTTTCTGCAGCCAGGGTGAGCTGATGAGCATTCAGCTCCTAGCAGAGAGGGTAAGTCCTCTCTGCTAGACAAATCGTCCTGACAAGTGTTCAGCTATCAGCAGAGAGAGTGGCTCCTCTCTGCAGCTTGTCCTCCCCACATCTTCAACTATCAGTGGAGAGGGCAGTTCCTCTCTATAGCTGGTCATTGGTTGTCTGTTCTGCTCTAGCTGAGCTAGGGACTTTTATGGGTCTCAAAAAGGAGGAAGTGCTTGTCGATTGGTCCATGGGCAGCCATGGGCGGTGGAAAAGGCACCAGGTTTCCACTTGGTCTGTAGGACTGTCAGCACAGACCCCTGCCTTCAGGCCCTCCCTGGTCTGAAGATGAGGACTCACTGGGGACTGTCCCCTTCCACCCAAGAGCCTGTCTGTCTCCTGCCATCGCCCATGGCGCCCAGGCTGCTTGCACCAATGGGCACCTGCAAGTCAGCACCCCCATTGTCTTCCCCGCCATCCTTATTGGAGCCCAGAGTCTGGAGGGGGGCTGAGGTGGCAGAAGGCTAGTGTGTCAGCACTGCCCGGAGTTTGCACACACCCCGCCGGGCTGTGTCAGCCCCGATCTCAGCCCTAACCCTGTTTGGAGATCGGAGTGGGCATCGGGAGCAGGGAGAGGCCAGATGGTGGGAGCAGACATCCTTGATCCTGCAGGGGAAGAGGGAACTTTCCCAGGCTCCCAAGAGTGCAGAGTGCAGAGACCCCTGGGAGTCCCAGCCATGCTTCCTTGCAGCAGCAAGAGCAACGACGCTGCAAGCTCCCTCCATGGCCTCCGTGCTCAGGGGCAGCCCCCAGGGCTCCCCTTTGCCCAGCTCGTGGACCTGTCAGTAGCGGGGGCGCCTCTGGGAGTGAATCGTGAACCCTGGCCTGGCTGTCAGGAGTGTCAGACTCAACGATCAGCCTGATGCTGTGCGGACCCCAGGGACGGGGTCCCAGGCGCCCTGCGCAAAGCCTCCTCCAAAGGCAAAGGAACTCAGTGCCCTTGGTGGGGTGAGCGCGGTGGCCGCGCCACTGGCCAGGTCCCTGGAGCCGGCACCACTCCCACTTCCCGCCCCGGGCCCTCAAAGCATAGACCCAGCTCTGCGCCCTGGGCCTCTCTTTGTCCGACCACACTCCCCGGCTGGCGGGCAGCTCTGCCCGGCCCCATGGCAGCGGCTCCCAGGGCTCCCGCTTGTCCCTGGATCCCGCCAGCTCCATGGAGTGCAGCACTGCCCCTGGCCCAGCTGTGCCTCCTCCCTGAACCCTCCCTGTTGCGGTGGTGGGTGATAGTAGTGATGTGGATTCAGGGTCCGGAGCAATGAAGGCTCCCGGCCTGGGAGCAGGCTCCAGCCTGCTGCGGAAGGATGGACAGCTGCACAGTTGGCCACCTCAGGGACGTGGCACACAGGGGACCCACCGCTGCCACTGCCACTCCCACAACCCCTCCTGCCAACACCGCCCGTGCCTCCCAGCCACTGCCATCACTAGTAACTTCTGTGAAGACAATGTGCACACTAGTTTTAATGGCATCATTGATTCAGGATGATTGAAATAAGCCCCACACCATGCTCAGCATCTAATAGTGTATGCCTTGTACTAACTCCTGTCCTTACGCATGTGGGGCAGCATAATGTCTATATTATCTAAATTCTCCTAAAATTAATAACTCAGTTAATGATAGCTTAAATTATTTATAGAAAACTAACTCTCATATAGATAATTTGCAAAGTTAGATTTAAAGAACTGAGATGTAAAATTTTATCTTTTTTTCTACTTTGTACTTTCATGAAGAAAAATGACTTCAGTATCACTGCACTAATTTCCTTATTGCTAGTGTTCTTTAAAGCTCATCCACAGTGCCCCAAACTCCAAAGCGTACTCATTTTCCCCCCCTTTTTTTTTACAAACAGTATGCTTTACTTAATTCTAAAGTATAAAGAAATAAAGTGATGGTAGTACTAAAAAATATGGCAATAATAATGTTAATAAGATAGCAGTTAACATTTATATAGAATTAAGTATGTGCCAGACATTGATCTAATCCTTTTACAGGTATTAACACATTCACTTGGCACCATAGATAACTTATAGAGTTTCCTGGTCAAATTTCACTCTTTGAGAAACAATTAAAAACTCACTACAGAAGGTCTGCTATTTCTTCCACAGTCTCACCACAAAAATCAATGCATGCAATCAAGATTTCAAATGGTTTTGCAGTTTTACAAGTATTGCTTATCACCTTGCACCTGTTAGAATGCCCATTCTCAACAACAAGCCAAAAGATAACAAGTATTGACGAGGATGAGGAAAAAAGGAAACCCTTGCACACTATTAATGGGAATATAAATTAGTACAACCATTATGGAAAGAAGTATGGAGGTTTTCAAAAAATTTAAAGTAGAACTAACATATGACCCAGCAATCCAACTACTGGTTATGCATCCAAAGAAATGAAATCAGTATACAGAGAGATACCAGCACTCCCATGGTCATTGTCACATTATTCATAGTAGACAAATACGAAAATGACTCATAGTTATTGCCACATTATTCACAATAGACAAATATGAAAGCAACCTAAGTGTCTACCAACAGATGAATGAATAGCAGTGCATATACACACAATGGAATACTATTCCATCACAATAAGAGAAGAAAATCCTCTTATTTATGACAGCATGAATGAACCTGGAGGATATCATGTTAAGTGAAATAAGCCAGGCACAGGAAGACAAATACCACACGATTTTGCTTATATGTGGAATCTAAAAAAGTTGATCTTTTAGAAGTAGAGAAGAGAATGGCAATTATCAGGGGCTGGAAATTGTTGGGAGGGTGGGGATGTTGGGAAGATATTGGTCAAAGAATATAAAATTTCAGTTAGATAGAAGGAATGAGTTCAATATATCTTTTATACAACGTAGTGACTATAGTTAATAATATATTGTATTCTTGAAAAATGCTAAGAGAATGGATATAAAGTATTCTCACCACAGAAATGATAAATATGTGAGGTAATACATATGTTAATTAGCTAGATCTTATCATTGCAAAATGTATATATACTGTAAGACATCATACTGTACATGGTAAATACATATAATTTTATCTGTCAATTTTTTTTAAATGAAAGGTATCTCTCTGTGGCCAAAATAGAGCTATTTCTCAGTAGACATGGCTAACTCTACTCAATATTACCCTCATCCGCACTATGCACCACACCCCATGCAGACACGGTTCTCCTGAGAACATTTACTTTCACTAGGACAGTTACCTCTCAGATACCTCTGCCCCTGTGTTGGAACTGAGGGCTCCCTTAGAACATTAGCAGTGGGATGTTACATGAGACTACATGAACTGCCAGAATTCATATGATGAATTTGTGTCTAATTATATCTACACATATATTATTCTGGACATAGGGTTTATTTTATGAAAGGTTAAGAAATATTACACAGTATAGTGGCAAAATGGGTAAAATTTTCTTCTCCTGCCTTCATTATACTCCCTTAGCAGAAAGCCAAAGTACTGTAGCTTGTACCCCAATATTTTACAGGGTATTGATACAAAAAAGTCTTTTTTGGTTTCTACGTATATTTTCCCTCCTTCCTGCAAATCATAAATATTAGCTTAGGTAGCACTTAGATGACAGTCAAATTTGAGAAACAAAAGCTTTGCTCTTCTCCTAGAAGCTCCTCCTTCTGAAGCTGAAAGTTTCTTTATCTGGCCAGATTTGTAGATTTATTACCTCTCCCCTTAGGGTTAATTATTTCTCAGGAAGTTTCCAGGTCCTTTGGAAAACATCATCCCAGAGGAACTAACTCTTCAATTCATAGTATATGATCACACATCTTCAGCCAAGAGGTAGCTGTGAATTAGGTCTCAGTTAATTTCATTGTATCCAAATATTTATGACTCATTATTATAAGAATGGTTTTCTCAAAGCCAGTAAGAATCTATGACTACAAAGTAAGGGTTATTTAATTTGACATTTAACCACTCTCCCTGGCATAAACTATGGTGCTCACCAAACATGCCTTCTGCTCCCCATTATTTCCTTGTTCTCTTGCATTTAAGCTCAGCCTTTCAATTACTTCTGGACAATGCCTATGAGTAGAAGCAAAGGCATAGAGGAGTTATGCACAACCTTCTAGATTCTCTTTACCTGCCATTAATTGAAGTACCATGGTACAGGTAAAAGATAGAGAATTTGCATCAGAATAGAAACCTGATTTGTAGCATTTGCTGATTTCCATGATGTAAATAATCCCAACATGTCCGATGTCAAGCTATTCATGTGAAATTACAAAATGGAGAGGTGGGATGATCCACAAAGAATTGGTTCTCGTCAACCACTATACACCATCTCTAGCACACCACTGTAAGCTCCAAAAGAAGAGGACATACCTATAATTTACAGATAGAGGCAGAAAATATTGCCTTGTGTAATTGAAGTACATAATATTCAATGTATGCTTGGTTGAGCTTGGACATCTACATATGTAACACTATCAAAGGAATTAAGATTGTATGAAAATGTGTTACATTTAGATAGGGAATCTATCAAGGAGGAGTTTTATAAATTCATTTAAGGATGACAGGTAATCCCACATCCTGCCAAGGTAATCAGTATAAACTCAGATTCAACCAACATTTTACTGAATGAACATTATGCTCCAAGAAGAATGTTAGTTATTTTTGCATATGTTGCCCCATTTCACCGCAAACTCCTTTATCTTAGTTCTATTTTGCAGATGAGAAAAATGAAGCATATGCAACTAGCAAGAAATGAAAGTTTGAATCCAAGCACTCTGACTTCAAGCTCAATGTGATGATTCTTGATCATATGGCATAGTCTCCAAAATAAATAAATAAAAGTAACTAGAAGAAATAAAGCTTCATTCTGCTCAAGAATCTCATAACTTCCTGAAGATAAACATGGCCAAAGAGGCGAGAGGTCACAAAAAGGTAATTAAATATTTGAGGTATTTTATTTCTTTCTCTAAATTCAGTGAAGTCAGTAAATATTTCAGAAGCTACTACATGCTGCATGAGGAAATTGACTCTCAATAAACAATAATCATTTTTAATTATAGATATCTCTAGCTTGAAGAATGATTTTTCCAGTCATTGCAGTTTAATAGAAACATCTCTTTTAAAAATACAAATTTGTTCCATGTTCATTCTAAACTCATGGGATGCTAATCATACTGCCCAACAGAAAGGAGATTTCCTTAGCAAATATCAAATATAGGTAATATTGCAAGATATATGTCCCATTACAATCTAATAATCTGCCAGTCTATTTATACAACATCTTATCTCTTTAAGATGTTTCTGTTGTATACATAATCCAAAAAGTGATAATATCTAGAATACTTTAACAAAATAGATTTTCTGATGTTGGAAAATTTGGAAGCCAGTTCCTAGAATTACTCTGGCCCACCAAAGGTCTCTTTTTTCCTATACATCCCATTAGCAGTAACTAAAGTTTAACAATAGTTAACTATAAAGACATGCTAAAAGTTAATTTAAATTTAATTAAGTTAATTTATTTTTAAGTTAAACATAGCCAATTCACAGAATTAAATTGACAACTGAATTAAATTTTCTGGAAGAATAGCTGATTTTATTCACCCCTGGCATGAGAGACATTTTCACAATGTCTACCAAGAGCATCATTTTACAATTTGCAGAAGTGCCCTGAATTAGTTTCATTTTCAAATGCAAACAGATGAAGTTTTCCTATTCCTCAAACTCTTTTTAGCTTCAGCACGCCAAATAGAAAATTAGTCTCACCTATAGGCAAGAAGACAGAATGAACAGTGGAAAGTTCATTAAATTGTTCTTTTTTAAAGTTCTTCAAGGTAAAGATTATATAAGCCTGCCTGAAAGTAGGAAGACTTGATATTAAGTTGAAACTGAATTTAACAAAAGAGTGTAAAAATCCCTTTGCCATCTATTCAGAGTTTATATCAGATGTTGCTTTTGAATTCTCTCTTCCAAAATTTTTTCAGGCTTTAAGGACTCCAACCTACAATCCCTTTCAAAAGATTACTGTCGTAACCAAATACTTTATTTTTGAATGGTCACTTACTCTCTGTCTATATGCTTCCATTAGGGACTTCCCTGGGTTGAAAAACAACTCACCTAGAACAAAACTGATATTCAACCTCTTAGATCCCTGATCAAATACATCTTAACATCTCTCTATCTTGAGCAGAAGGTTTTACTCTTTAAATAACTTAATAATAGCAAATGCCATCAGAGCAACAATTCTGCTATTGTCAGGCTACCCTAAGAGGGTATATATGAATGAGAACATAAACTAATTTCCAAACAGAGTTGAAGGCTTGAGATTATTAAAAATACGAGGATTAACAATCAGGAGGTTTTTTTTATTTTTAGTCTCGATATTGGCATCATTTATTCCTTGCACTTATCTAATGTATTCATCTCTCTAAGACTCAGTTCCCTGATATATAAAATAAGAAGGTTGAATTGAAATTTCTTTCATACCTGAAATGCTAGCAGTTAAAAAAATGATAAAGGGGAAACAAATGAACTATCTAGGAGTGAATTAGACCAAAGAATTCTAATCCATTTGTTAACTGAGAAAGAACACCAGCTACCAACCTACTCCTCAACCATGCACCCTTCATGAATATATTTCATTCACTCTCACCAAACCCACAGTAACCCTCACATTCAGTAGAAAGGACCAATACGTGGACAAATCACCATACTGTAGAGGGAAATCTCATGTACTAACCAAACTAGTTCATCATAATCATAAATATAATAAACAAATATAGATCACTGGACATTTGAAGAGACTCAGTATCATGTTATAAAAATACTAGGATGAGCAAACAAAATTCATGACACTGAAGGAAACAAGGCTAATTTAGAAGTAGAGGAAATTTTCATAAATTCTAGTTTAATAATTTTAAAGATGTTACAGAAAATAGTCTATTAATGAAAACATAAACTTTTAAAAAGAATGTTATATAACAGAAGTAATTTATTAAAACAGAGAAAGAAGCATTTTCTCCTTCTCATTTACCTCCCTGCCCTACCCAATAATTCCTTTCTACCTGGTTTTGAATATTTGATAAAAGTGTCTTAAATCCCTTACTGGATAGCAATCTCCTGTTGGTATGTTTTGTTAAACATCCTTTTCACTCATCTATAACCTCCAATTCCAGCAACTGGAAAAAGTTTAATCTATAATAGGAAATATTTATTGAATAATAATTAAATAATTTAAGGAAAAATTTTAGAGCCAAAAAGACACAAGTGTTCAGACCTATTAAGCCTACCCATTATCAAACACAGTAAATGCTGGGTCAGAAAAAATTACACAAGGAAATATTTTGGTTAAGATTCATAGTTTATAATTCAAAATATAAAAAGGTATTTTAATAATTAATAAATTATTGGCTATATCATGAACAACATTCAGAATGATATATAAAATCAATTTGTCACTAAGAACTTATTTCAAAAAAATTATTAGGCATATGTGAGGGCATTTTCAGGCATGCAATATAATTATAAAATTTCCTGTAACAATAAATTGCTCAAATATATATTCCAGAATGAAGAACAAGAAACCCATATATAGACATGATGTGAGATACATAAATAGTGGCAATATGACATCAAAGATATGTATAAAGTTTTATTTCTTTGATTTTTTTCTGATCAACAGGTTCTGTTGGAACAATACTTAGACTATTATTTTAAATAAAAATAATAACACAAGAATATTTTATCCATCTAATCATCCTACTAGAGTGAAAAATATGTATATAATCATAACATTGCAAGTAATATGTTGAAGTTTTCTATTTTCAGAATTTCTTTACACATGAAGGACATAATAATTCATTCAAATTATAGAACAGAATGTCATGTCTACAGCTTTGACCAACTAAAAAATAATAACATAACAAGTTAGAATAGGAAGCAGAAGAGGTAAAAAGGATGGTAGATGTGCTTGTTACTTTATGTTTCAAAATAGGAGTCAATAAGGACTATCTAAATTAGACAAATCAAGAAATAAAGATTTAGAAAAATTTGGTAAACAACCTCAAAAAAACTAAAACTAGAAATATATACATCAAGAATCATGCTCATGGATAGGAAGAATCAGTATCATGAAAATGCTATCCCCATCAAGCTACCATTGACCTTCTTCACAGAATTAGAAAAAAATACTTTAAATTTCATATGGAACCAAAAAATAGCCTGTATAACAAAGAAAATCCTAAGCAAAAAGAACAAAGTTGGAGGCATCACACTACCTGACTTCAAACTATACTACAAGGCTACAGTAACCAAAACAGCAGGGGACTGGTAGCAAAACAGATATATACACCAATGGAACAGAACAGAGGCCTCAAAAATAATGCCACACATCTACAACCATTTGATCTTTGACAAACCTGACACAAACAAACAATGGAGAAAGGATTCCCTATTTAATAAGTGGTGTTGGGAAAACAGGCTAGCCATATGCAGAAAAATGAAACTGAAGCCCTTCCCTACACATTATACAAAAATTAACTCAAGATGCATTAAAGACTTAAACGTAAGACCTACAACCATAAAAACCCTAGAAGAAAACCTAGGCAATACCATTTAGGATATAGGCATGGGCAAAGACTTCATGACTAAAACACCAAAAGCAATGGCAACAAAAGCCAAAATTGACAAATGGGATCTAATTAAACTAAAGAGTTTCTGCACAGCAAAAGAAACTCATTAGAGTGAACAGACAACCTACAGAATGGGAGAAAAATCTTGCAATCTATCTGACATAGGGCTAATATCCAGAATCCACAAGGAACTTAAACAAATTTATAAGAAAGAAACAAACAACCTCATCAAAAAGTGGGCGTGGAATATGAACAGACACCTCTCAAAAGAAGACATTTATGCAGCCAATAAACATATGAAAAAAAGCTCATCATCATTGGTCATTAGAGAAATTCAAATTAAAACCACAATGAGGTACCATCTCACTCCAGTTAGAATGGCGATCATTAAAAAGTCAGGAAACAAGATACTGGAGAGGATGTGGAGAAATAGGAAAGCTTTTACACTGTTGGTGAGAGTGTAAATTAGGTCAACCATTGTGGAAGATAGTGTGGCGATTCCTCAGGGACCTAGAACCAGAAATACCATTTGACCCAGCAATCTCATTACTGGGTATATACCCAAAGGTTTATAAATCATTCTCCTATAAAGACACATCCATACGTATGTTTATTGCAGCACTATTCACAGTACCAAAGACTTGGAACCAACCCAAATGCCCATCAATGGTAGACTGGATAACGAAAATGTGGCACATATACACCATGGAATACTATGCAGCCATAAAAAAGGATGAGTTCATGTTCTTTGCAGGGACATAGATGGGGCTGGAAACCATCATTCTCAGCAAACTAACACAGGAACAGAAAACCAAACATCTCATGTTCTCATTCATAAGTGGGATTTGAACAATGAGAACACAAGGACAGAGGGAGGGGAACATCACAAACTGGTGCTTGTCGGAGGGTGGGGGACTATGGGAGGGATAGCATTAAGAGAAATACCTAATGTAGATGATAGGTTGATGGGTGCATCAAACCACCATGACATGCGTATACCTATGTAACAAAATGGTATCCCAGAACTTAAAGTATAATTTAAAAATAAATGAATAAATAAACAAATAAAAAATAATCATGTACTCAAGAAGAGTACGGTATATAATAGAAAGATACCAAATTTCTCATATTTCATGGTGAAAAGTCAATAGATGAGATCAAAGTTGATCAAAGTGCATGTATATTATCAAATTAATGATAATCACTAGAAGCACTCAGTTCAGAAATTCTTGAAAATAGTTGTGTCTGAAAACTTGGGAGAGGAATTATGAATGGGAAAGTGGGGAGTACGATCACTCTTATTTACCCACTTTTAAACTGTTTGGTATTTCTTTAACATTATTTCACAGTATATTTTGAGTAAATGAATATCCAGGATAGGATAAGTCTAACATGATTTTGATAATATTAATAGCTTCTATTAGTGAATTACTTAGAGTTTATAAAAATACTTTCAATGAATTATTTTATTCATGCCTAACAATTTTTAAGAAAGTTTTTATTATGTACAATTGAAGAAGAAATGATTGATTAGAGGGAAAAAAATGGACTTGCCCAAAGTCACACAGCTATTAAGTAACATGCTGAAGCACAAACCCAGGTCTCTCCTACAGTCAACATTTTTTCTCCATTTTAATTTGAATCAGGCTAACCATCATTTGAATGAATTGTTTTATTTTAGTTGTTTTGTTTGTTTTCAAATTTGCAACATAATTTATTGTAACTCTTTCTTATTTGTGTTCCCTCAGAATCAAATTCCGGGGCAATGACTCAAGTACAAGTAGTTTATTAGAAAGGAGATTCCAGAAAGCAGCAGTGCTGGTAGGGAACTGAGACAGAGAAGGAAAACAAGAAAATAAATGATGTGTTATCAAGCAAGTTATTACTGTGGAAAACTAGAGAGGATTTTTTGAGAGGCTTAGGAAAGAATGTGAAATACCCACTTAAGACTTTCTCCACCTCACGGGCAAAGGAGCTTGGGTATTTATATACTAACTTTCTTCATTCTTTGGTTTGATACCGCTAGTGAGGGAGGTTAGGTTGGAGACAAAACTTGGCCATTTTCTTTAGACCCTTCTTGCAGAACAGGTTTCAGTGACTTCAGGTGGAATTTGGGGTTGCATGCATAGACATGGTAGTGACAAGGGCATATTGGTGGGACATTGACAGGAATGGCTACAAATCCCCAACTAAACTGTAACATTCCTTATGAGCAGAATTCATACTTTGCTCTTTGTTTTTACCACCTGTTATGGAACTGACTTTGAGTAAATATATCATATTTCATTAGGTTTAGAATACCCAAGCATTGTGAACACATGACTGGTTTAGCACACAATCTCATTTTAGAAAAAACCAAGTTTTGTACATATTCTGCTGCCAAATATAAAAATTTTACTTATAGCATTGATTCCCCAAGTGCTGATTTACAGACCAGTGCTGACCTAGAAAGAATTATTTAACCATCTAGAGCAAATAAGAAAACATGATAAATTTCAAACTTTTGTGAGATGTGTAATGTTTGGATTAAAGAACTGTGATTTTAAATTATATCTATTCTGTATTTTTCATAATAAAGTATTATTTTTCTTATGAAATTATAGTGTGAATAAATTATGCTCTATTTTCCCCTTTTTATGCCTATGTGTTCCCTTTATTTTCACTTTATATCCTGGGCAATTTTGTGCAAGTGATCAGATGTTGTGATCAACTATTAATTAAAATCACACTACTTTACAATATAAAAAAATGTAAACTCACTGATCTATAAGCTACTTCTTAATAGCATTTGGTGGATTCAAATTACCCCATGAGTGATTTTCCAAACTTAAAATAGCCTTAATATAGTAGATGTGATTTAACAAGGCAAATAAATTTACCAGCACCTTTAAAAACAATAAATATCATACTTGTTTACTCATAAAGAAACAAAAAAATGAACATCTGCTTAGCTATGTTAAGATTACATGGTTAACAAAGTAATTCTGTTTACTTTGTGATTAATTATCTTTACTGCCATACCATATAAATAAAATATTTCATTTCAAACATGTTACATCTACATTTATCGAGGGAATGATTTACAAAATAAGGCATATATTTCTGTGAGGAAAAATTATCTTTATTATGTAGTCCTACTTAAAACATTCATATGTGCAATACAAGATTAAAATAGCCATATTTTCTAAGTATAATAAAACCGTTAATGACTGTAGTTTTGTCAACATCTATCAATCTTCCTGTAGATAGTTAAATTCTTATTTAGTTTATTTTTATTCATTAAATGATGAATAATGTTTAAATAATTTGGCTGAACAATTTTGAAAGGTGATTAGTAATAATCTGTGTAATATTTGGGAATCTGGCAGAGCCATTTCTAGGTAAGTGATGAAGCCAGGACCATCCACAGATATAGGCAGGTCACACCGTGAGGCTCTGGCCAAACACACACAGGTAGATTTAGGTTAACATAACAAACAAAAATAAATTTTGAAAGAAGAAGATCACCACAGGGTAATATATAGCTTAGGAATATGTCTTAAAAGGCAGGAAAAAAGAAGCCCAATTTTGTGTTTGTAAAGGGACATACTCAAAATCTCCTTTTCATTTATTGTTAATATTCTTGATTTACTACTAAACATTCAGTCCAGGTTTTGTCATCTTTTAGCAACTGTTTCATAACTTGTCTAATGTGCCTTCTTTCCATATTTTCTATGTCTCTATAACTTAACCACAAGGCAGTGAGGAGAGATTTTTGTCAGGCACAGCTTTAAGGGCATATGATGACTTGGCATCACCTCTGTTTGTCTTTCAAATACCTGACAGATATCCTTTTCTTTATACCTAGTATTTGCTATGAACTCACTGGGTAACATCAATGACTGAGAACAGTCACTGAATTGTGTCTAAGCCACTTCCGTATAATAATGTTAACATATAAATTGATGTGTGGCCTTATTTGTATGGGGGTGTAGAGTCCACTATTATTATTATTCTTACAGTAATTGGCAAAGTCATCTAAAAGATTTAATTATCTTTCTAATACATACCTTACTGCAAAGATTAAAAATTTAGAGCCTATTTAGTTGTAAAATAATGGATTTTTAAACCCACAAAAAAGTACTTGAATAAATAGATATTTCTTATGAATATTCTAATAAGAACTTATGCTAATAGCAATTGCTAAAGCTAAAAATGGTTGATAAGATTAATTACTTATATGCCATGAGCAACAGGAGACAAAAATAGATGATTCTTCAATCTTTAATTCTCAACTATCTTATTGATATATTCTTGATGAGAAAGGAAATAAAGATTTACCTTCTAAAGTTTAGAAAATTATTTTAAGAAGAAGAAATTAAATAATTTTTAATATGTATATAAATGTATGGTTTATCTGTAACAAGTGCTATATGATCTATGAGATGCTTTCATGGAAAATAATGACTTGGCTGTAAGCCATAAACATTAAGAAGAAACAGGGGACTTTACTAGACATCAAGATTATTTATAAAGCTGAAGTAATATATAAGGTATTGTTGCAAAGATAGATAAATAGAAGAATGGAACAGAATAAAAGGGTTCAGAAACAGACTCACACTTGATACTTGGTCGATGATAAAGACAACACTTGATTGACTAGGCAGTAGCAAAGAATGACCTTTTCAAAAGACGGCATTGGGCCAAATGTATATACAATGTAATAAAAAATAAAATTGGCTTCTGCTTTTGAACATACACAAAAATTAATTCCAGGTAGATTGCCATTCTAAATATAATAGATGAAACATTAAATCTTCCTTAAGTTAGCATTTAAGAATATTTTCACAAAATGAACTGGGAGCAGGCAAGATTCTCTTTCACAAACTGGGAGCAGGCATGATTCACTTTCTTTATTATCACCATAATGGACAAAATTGAAATTATACTATATTAAATCAGAACTTTTCATGTAAATACACTATTAGAGAAAATGTGAGCCACAAAGTGGAAGAAAATATTTGCAACACATGAAATCAACAAAGGGCTTGTATCTAGCATATATATTGGAAAAAACCTTCTATAAGTCAATAAGAAAAGACAGGTAATAAAATAAAATGGACAAGAGACTTGAACAGGCATTTCACAAAAGAAGATATTCAAATGACCACTCAGCACATGAAAATGTTATTGACATCACTATTCATCATGAATATGCAAATTAAAATCACGACTACATATACACCAGACTACATCTACATCAAAATGTCTACAATTTAAAGCAGACAATGATATTCAAAGGTTGGTGTTGCGATCCCTGTCATATATTGCTTGTGAGAGGAGGAAAAGAAAACTGAATTCTTAAAACCACTATATAAAATTGTTTGGTAGGGGGTGGTTCCAAGATGGCCAAATAGGAAGAGCTCCAGTCTACAGCTCCTAGTGCGAGTGACGCAGAAGACAAGTGATTTCTGCATTTCCAACTGAAGTACCGGGTTCATCTCACTGGGGCTTGTCGGACAGTGGGTGCAGGACAGTGGGTGCAGCCCACCGAGTGTGAGCCAAAGCAGGGCAAGGCATTGCCTTATCCGGGAAGTGTAAGGGGTCAGGGAATTCCCTTCCCTAGCCAAGGGAAGCTGTGACAGACGGCACCCGGAAATCGGGTCACTCCCATGCTAATACTGTGCTTTTCCAATGGTCTTAGCAAACTGCACACTAGGAGATTATAACCCATGCCTGGCTCGGAGGGTCCCACGCCCACGGAGCCTTGCTCATTGCTAGCACAGCAGTCTGAGATCAAACTGCAAGGTGGCAGCCAGGCTCAAGGAAGGGGCGCCCACCATTGCTGAGGCTTGAGTAGGTAAACAAAGCAGCTGGGAAGCTTGAACTGGGTGGAGCCCACTGCAGCTCAAGGAGGCCTGCCTGCCTCTGTAGACTCCACCTCTGGGGGCAGGGCATAGCTGAACAAAAGGCAGCAGAAACCTCTGCAGACTTAAATGTCCCTGTCTGACAGCCTTGAAGAGAGTAGTGCTTCTCCCAGCATGGAGTTTGGGATCTGAGAACGGACAGACTGCCTCCTCAAGTGGGTCCCTGACCCCCGAGTAGCCTAACTGGGAGGCACCCCCGAGTAGGGGCAGACTGACACCTCATATGGCCGGGTACTCCTCTGAGATGAAACTTCCAGAGGAACGATCAGGCAGCAACATTTGCTATTCAGCAATATTCGCTGTTCTGCAGCCTCCTCTGCTGATACCCAGGCAAACACGGTCTGGAGTGGACCTCCAGCAAACTCCAACAGACCTACAGCTAAGGGTCCTGACTGTTAGAAAGAAAACTAACAAACACAAAGGACATCCACTCCAAAACCCCATCTGTATGTCACCATTATCAAAGACCAAAGGTAGATAAAACCACAAAGATGGGGAAAAACAGAGCAGAGAAGCTGATAATTCTAAAAATCAGAGGATCTCTCCCCCTCCAAAGGAAAGCAGCTCCTCACCAGCAACGGAACAAAGCTTGATGGAGAATGACTGATGGGTTGAGAGAAGAAGGCTTCAGATGATCAAACTTCTCCAAGCTAAAGGAAGAAGTTCAAACCCACTGCAAAGAAGCTAAAAATCTTGAATAAAGATTAGATGAGTGGCTAACTAGAATAATCAGTGCAGAGAAGTCCTGAAATGACCGGATAGAGCTGAAAACCATGGCATGAGAACTACGTGACAAATGCACAAGCTTCAGTAGCCAATTCAATCAACTGGAAGAAAGGGTATCCGTGCTTGAAGATCAGATGAATGAAATGAAGCGAGAAGAGAAGTTTAGAGTAAAAAGAGTAAAAAGAAATGACCAAAGCAAGAAATATGGGACTATGTGAAAAGGCCAAATCTACGTCTGATTGCTGTACCTGAAAGTGACGGGGAGAATGGAACCAACTTGGAAAACACTCTGCAAGATATTGTCCAGGAGAACTTCCCCAACCTAGCAAGGCAGGCCAACATTCAAATTCAGGAAATACAGAGAATGCCACAAAGATACTCCTCGAGAAGAGCAACTCCAAGATACATAATTGTCAGATTCACCAAAGTTGAAATGAAGGAAAAAATGTTAAGGGCAGCCAGAGAGAAAGGTCGGGTTACCCACAAAGGGAAGCCCATCAGACTAGCAGCAGATCTCTTGGCAGGACTCTACAAGCCAGAAGAAAGTGGGGGCCAATGTTCGACATTCTTAAAGAAAAGAATTTTCAACCCAGAATTTCATATCCAGCCAATCTAAGTTTCATAGGTGACGGAGAAATAAAATCCTTTAAAGGGAGGAAATGCTGAGAGATTTTGTCACCACCAGGCCTGCCCTAGAAGAGCTCCTAAAGGAAGCACTAAACATGGAAAGGAACAACCGATACCATCCACTGCAAAAACATGCCAAATTGTAAAGGCCATCGATGCTAGGAAGAAACTGCATCAACTAATGAGCAAAATAACCAGCTAACATCATAATGACAGGACCAAATTCACACATAACAATATTAACTTTAAATGTAAATGGGCTAAATGCTCCAATTAAAAGACACAGACTGGCAAATAGGATAAAGAGTCAAGACCCATCAGTGTGCCATATTCAGGAGACCCATCTCATGTGCAGAGACACACATAGGCTCAAAATAAAGGGATGGAAGAAGATCTACCAAGCAAATGGAAAACAAAAAAAGGCAGGGGTTGCAATCCTAGACTCCGATAAAACAGACTTTAAACCAACAAAGATCAAAAGAGACAAAGAAGGCCATTACATAATGGTAAAGAGATCAATCGAACAAGAAGAGCTAACTATCCTAAATATATATGCACCCAATACAAGATCACCCAGATTCATAAAGCAAGTCTTTAGAGACCTACAAAGAGACTTAGACTCCCACACAATAATAATGGGAGACTTTAACATCCCACTGTCAACATTAGACAGATCAATGAGACAGAAAGTTAACAAAGATATCCAGGAATTGAACTCAGCTCTGCACCAAGTGGACCTAATAGACATCTACAGAACTCTCCACCCTAAATCAACAGATTATACATTCTTCTCAGCACCATATTGCACTTATTCCAAAATTGACCACATAGTTGGAAGTAAAGCTCTCCTCAGCAAATATAAAAGAAGAGAAATTATAACAAACTGTCTCTCAGACCACAGTGCAATCAAACTAGAATTCAGGTTAAGAAACTCACTCCAAACCACTCAACTACATGGAAACTGAATAACCTGCTCCTGAATGACTACTGGGTACATAACGAAATGAAGGCAGAAATAAAGATGTTCTTTGAAACCAATGAGAACAAAGATACAACATACCAGAATCTCTGGGACACATTTAAAGCAGTGTGTAGAGGGAAATTTATAGCACTAAATGCCCACAAGAGAAAGCAGGAAAGACCTAAAATTGACACCTAACATCACAATTAAAAGAACTAGAGAAGCAAGAGCAAACACATTCAAAAGCTAGCAGAAGGCAAGAAATAACTAAGATCAGAGCAGAACTGAAGGAGATAGAGACACAAAAAACCCTTCAAAAAAATCAATGAATCCAGGAGCTGGTTTTTTGAAAAGATCAACAAAATTGATAGACCGGTAGCAAGACTAATAAAGAAGAAAAGAGAGAAGAATCAAATAGACACAATAAAAAATGATAAAGGGGATATCACCACCGATCCCACAGAAATACAAACTACCATCAGAGAATACTATAAACAACTCTATGCAAATAAACTAGAAAATCTAGAAGAACGGTATAAATTCCTGGACACATGCACCCTCCCAAGATTAAACCAGGAAGAAGTTGAATCCCTGAATAGACCAATAACAGGCTCTGAAATTGAGGCAATAATTGATAGCCTACCAACGAAAAAAAATCCAGGACCAGACAGATTCACAGCCGAATTCTACCAGAGGTACAAGGAGGAGCTGGTACTATTCCTTCTGAAACTATTCCAATCAATAGAAAAAGAGGGAATCCTTCCTGACTCATTTTATGAGGCCAGCATCATCCTGATACCAAAGCCTGGCAGAGACACACACACAAAAAAGAGAATTTTAGACCAATATCCCTGATGAACATCGATGCAAAAATCCTCAATAAAATACTGGCAAACCGAATCCAGCAACAGATCAAAAAGCTTATCCACCATGATCAAGTGGGCTTCATCCCTGGGATGCAAGGCTGGTTCAACATATGAAAATCAATAAACGTAATCTGGCATATAAACAGAACCAAAGAAAACAACCACATGATTGTCTCAATAGATGCAGAAAAGGCCTTTGACAAAATTCAACAGTCCTTCATACTAAAAACTCTCAATAAATTAGGTATTGATGGGATGTATCCAAAAATAATAAGAGCTATTTATGACAAACCCACAGCGAATATCATACTGAATGGGCAAAAACTGGAAGCATTCCCTTTGAAAACTGGTACAAGACAGGGATGCCCTCTCTCACCACTGCTATTCAACATAGTGTTGGAAATTCTGACCAGGGCAATCAGACGGGAAAAAGAAATAAAGGGTATTCAATTAGGAAAAGAGGAAGTCAAATTGTCCCTGTTTGCAGATGACATGATTGTATATTTAGAAAACCCCATCATCTCAGCCCAAAATCTCCTTAAGCTGATAAGCAACTTCAGCAAAGTCTCAGGATACAAAATCAATGTGCAAAAATCACAAGCATTCTTATACATCAATAACAGACAAACAGAGAGCCAAATCATGAGTGAACTCCCATTCATAATTGCTTCAAAGAGAATAAAATACCTAGGAATCCAACTTACAAGGGATGTGAAGGACCTCTTCAAGGAGAACTACAAACCACTGCTCAAGGAAATAAAACAGGATACAAACAAATGGAAGAACATTCCATGCTCATGGGTAGGAAGAATCAGTATCATGAAAATGGCCATACTGCCCAAGGTAATTTATAGATTCAGTATCATCCCCATCAATCTACCAATGACTTTGTTCACAGAATTGGAAAAAAAAAACTACTTTAAAGTTCATATGGAACCAAAAAAGAATCCACATTGCCAAGTCAATCCTAAGCCAAAAGAACAAAGCTGGAGGCATCACGCTACCTGACTTCAAACTATACTACAAGGCTACAGTAACCAAAACAGCATGGTACTGGTACCAAAACAGAGATACAGACCAATGGAACAGAACAGAGCCCTCAGAAATAATACCACACATCTACAACCATCTGATCTTTGACAAACCTGACAAAAACAAGAAATGGGGAAACGATTCCCTATTTAATAAATGGTGCTGGGAAAACTGGCTAGCCATATGTAGAAAACTGAAACTGGATCCCTTCCTTACACCTTATACAAAAATTAATTCAAGATGGATTAAAGACTTAAATGTTACACCTAAAACCATAAAAACCCTAGAAGAAAACCTAGGCAATACCATTCAGGACATAGGCATGGACAAGGACTTCATGTCTAAAACACCAAAAGTAATGGCAACAAAAGCCAAAATTGACAAATGGGATCTAATTAAACTAAAGAGCTTCTGCACAGCAAAAGAAACTATCATCAGAGTGAACAGGCAACCTACAGAATGGGAGAAAATTTTTGCAGTCTACTCATCTGACAAAGGGCTAATATCCAGAATCTACAGTGAACTTAAACAAATTTACAAGAAAAAAACAAACAACCCCATCAAATTATATGAACAAAGGATATATGGGCAAAGGATATGAACAGACACTTTTCGAAAGAAGACATTTATGCAGCCAACAGATACATGAAAAAATGCTCATGATCACTGGCCATCAGGGAAATGTAAATCAAAACCACAATGAGATACCATCTCACACCAGTTAGAATGGCGATATTTAAAAAGTCACGAAACAACAGGTGCTGGAGAGGATGTGGAGAAGTAGGAACACTTTTACACTGTTGATGGGACTGTAAACTACTTCAACCATTGTGGAAGTCAGTGTGGCGATTTCTCAAGGATCTAGAACTAGAAATACCATTTGACCCAGCCATCCCATTACTGGGTATACACCCAAAGGATTATAAATCATGCTGCTATAAAGACACATGCACATGTATGTTTATTGAGGCACTATTCACAATAGCAAACACTTGGAACCAACCCAAATGTCCATCAATGATAGACTGAATTAAGAAAATGTGGCACATATATACCATGGAATACTATGCAGCCATAAAAAATGATGAGGTCATGTCCTCTGTAGGGACATGGATGAAGCTGGAAACCATCATTCTCAGCAAACTATCACAAGTAGAAAAAACCAAACACCGCATGTTCTCACTCATAGGTGGGAATTGAACAATGAGAACACTTGGACACAGGAAGGGGAACATCACACACTGGGGCCCATCATGGGGTGGGGGGAGAGGGGAGTGGGGAGGGAGGAGGTATAGCATTAGGAGATATACCTAATGTAAATGACATGTTAATGGGTGCAGCACACCAACATGGCACATGTATACATATGTAACAAACCTGCACGTTGTGCACATGTACCCTATAACTGAAAGTATAATAAAAAAAAATAATGTCAAAGGGAAAAGTTAATTAAAAAAGACAAAATCTGAAAAAAAAATAAAATTGTTTGGTAATATTGACTAAAACTTAACATACACAAACCCAGGGACCAAAAATTCCATTCGAAACTACATATCCAAAATTGTGTGTGTGTTTGTGTGTGTTCATGTGTGTAACAATCCAAGTGTTCTCCAACTGAAAAACAAATTATGCCATATTCATACAGTAAAATACAACAATGAAAATATATGAACTGCTATGTGCAACCACATGGATAAATATAATAGCCATAATGCTGAACAAAAAAGCTAGATATAAAATGCATACCTAAAGATTTCATTTATATAAAGTTATATGAAATTATAGTATTATAACTCAGGATATTTTTTCTTTTGCTTTATTTTGTTTAAGGAGGAGAGGGAAGGAGAGTTGTTAGGTAACAGTAATGTTCTTTATTTTTACTTGATTAGTGGTTACATATATGTGATTATATTATAACTCATTGAACTGTACACTTAACATTTTATGTTTTTTTATTTCGCTTTGCATGTAAACAATAAAATTCATTTAAAAAAATAGAGCCTTTGACTTTTCTGTCTCTGGTCAAAATATGGCAACAGGGACAGTATTTACCCTTCCATTTGAAATGCATGAAAACAGACAAAATAAGTGAAACAACAATTTTCAAGGCACCACACATCAGGCAATGAAGTACTATGATCCCTGAAAGAGAGCAAATAAGGTGAGCCCTATAAATGGCACAACTTACTAACTGAACAGAGCTTCCAAAAAGGGAGAATGCAGCAGATGCCCTGAGTTGAAGAGTTGAATGTGTGGGGAAACCAACATGGCTATAACTGATATCCAGAGTACCAGAGAGGAGAGAGCAACACCAAAACAGAACCACAGATATCTGTAAAGGATTACACTATAGTATTCAACAGAGTATGGAACAGAGTATAGTATTCAACAGAGTATGCAAAGAAACTAAGGCCAGAAAGAGAACCACCTGTGAAGATTGGGGTTTGATCAGGCATGGTGGCTCACACCTGTAATCCTAGCACATTGGGAGGCCGAGGTGGGCAGATCACTTGAGGTCAGGAGTTCTAGACCAGCTTGGCCAACATGGCAAAACCCTGACTCTACTAAAAGTACAAAAAAAAATTAGCCCGGAATGGTGGTGCACACATGTAATCCCAGCTCCTCAGGAGGCCGAGGCAGGAGAATTGCTTGAACCTGGGAGGAAGAGGTTGTGGTGAGTGGAGATCCTGTCTGACACTGATCTCCAGCCTGGGCAACAAAATGAGACTCTGTCTCAAAAAAAAAAAAAAAAAAAAAGAAGAAGAAGAAAATTGGGGTTAACAAGGTGGTCAAGAAGCCCCTGGGAATAGTGCCTGTTTCCACCAGTCAGAATGGAAATTCTCATGATTCATGGGATATTGCCACAGTGTTCAAGAGTCTTGCCTCAGTAGTGGGAACAGTTATCCCTAAAGTTAATGCAATTTTGGTCCTGCCTAATAAGTATTAAAATTAAGATTCAAAATAATCAAACTGTTTATAAGTAACTTAAGATAATTCAAGAACAAATCTCAAAAAAAGATTTAGGAATATAATAATACAATACCCAGGAACCAACAGGCATCCAATTAAAGATTATCAGGCATGCCAAGAAGTAGTAATGCAACCCATAATGGGGAGAACTGAATGTAATCAATTGAAACCATTCAGAACTGATCCACATGTGAGAATTAGCACACAAGGATACTAATGAAAACAACTACTACTATAAAGACATGTTTCAACAGTTCAGTGGAGATATAAAATACATAGAAAAGACTCAAATTGTACTTAAATAGATGAGAATGACAATATCTGAGATGAAAAATATAGTGGATGGGATGGGATCAAGATATATTAGACATGGGATAAGAAGGTACTAAGGAACTTGAAGACATAGCAATAGAAACTATCCAAAATGAATGGCAAAAATAAAGAGCATCAATCGCCTGTGGGAGACAACTTCAAGACTCATAAAATATGTGTAATTGGAGTACCCAAAGAGGGAAAGAATAGAGAAACAAAATATGAAAAGAAATAAAGACCTACATTTTTCCAGCTTTGACAAAACCTATAAACTCACTGATGCAAGCAGCTCAATGATCCCCTAGCACAAGAAATATGAAGAAAACTGCAAGGCATTATCAGACTCAAATTGTTCAAAACCAATGATAAAGAGAATATCTAAAAAGTAGTCATAAAAATAAGACATGTAATTTAGCAATCTCGCTGCTGAATATTTAGCCAAAAGATTTGAAATCAGTAATGTCAAAGAGATGTCAACACTCCTATGTTGATTATAGTATACTGTTCACAATAGCCAAGACGTGGAATCAGCCTAAGTATATATCAACAGATGAATGGATAAAGACAATGTGATATGTATACACAACAGAATGCTATTCAGCTTTAAAGAAATTTTTCACTGGCAAAAACATAGATGAAATTGGAGAACATTATGCCAAGTGAAATAAGCCAGGTACAGAAACACAAATACTGCATGGGAGAACAGATAAATAGGTAAAATTTAAAATACTTGAACTCAAAGAAGCGAATAGAATTGTGGTTAACACAGGCTAGGGGTGGGAGGAAATGGGGAGATGACAGTGAAAAGGGATCATTAGACAGGAGGCATAAGGGTTTATTTTTTCTTTGAGGTATATTGCACAACATGGTGAATATAGCAAACAATACTATATCATACATTTCATTTCAAAATTGATAAAATTTCAAATTTTCTCACCACAAAAACGTCGCAAGTATTTGAGTGATGAACAGGTTAATTAGTTTGATTTCATTATTCAACACTGTATTCATAAATCAAAGCATTACTTTGTGTGTGTGTATATATACACAACTTAATTTATCATTTACAATTTCAAAAATTATTTTAAAACACATGCATATTCACCAAAACAAAGATAAGGATGATAGCATATTATTTCTTATAAACAATGTAAGCAAAAAGATACTGGAACAATATCTTTAAAATACCAAAAGAAAAAAAATTTCAAGCTAGAGTTATATAAGCGTAAAGATAACTTTCAGAAAAGAGGGCAAAATTGACAAAGGAATTTTTTGAGGAAGTGAAGAAAATATTCTGAATAGATAATGTTTACGGTTATATCATTTTGTGACTATACTAAAATCCATTGAATTGTACACTTTAAAAGTGTGGCATTTATGGTACATGAATTGTAGTGAGTTGGTAATGACTCCCCAAAAGATATATCCAAGTCCCAACTCTTGATATTTGTGAACATGACATTATTTGGAAATAAGGCCTTTGCAGATGTAACTAAGTTAAGGGTTTCATGATGAGAGCATTCTCAATTAAGAATGTGCCCTGCATCCAAAGACTGGTGTTTTTATATGGTAAAGGAAAGAAAGATTTTAGACACTCATATGCCCAAGGTAGAAGGCCATATGAAGATGGAGGCAGAGACTAGAGTTATGGTGCAATAAGCCAACAAATGCCAAGGGATGTTCAGCAGCCAAGAGAAGCTAGGAGGGAGTCAGGAAACAGATTCTCCCTCAGAACCTACGGAGGAAACAAACCTGTTCACAATTCATTATAAATTTCTGACATCCAAAATTGTGACAGCATAAATTCTGTTTTTTTGTTTTTGTTTTTGTTTGTTTGTTTTTTGAGATGAAGTTTCACTCTTGTTGCCCAGGCTGGAATACAATGGTATGATCTCAGCTCACTGCAACCTCCATCTCCTGGGTTCAAGGGTTCTCTTGCCTCAGCCTCCCGAGTAGCTGGGATTATGGGAGCCCGCCACCACGCCCAGCTAATTTTTTGTATTTTTAGTAGAGATGGGGTCTTACCATATTGGCCAGGCTGTTCTCGAACTCCTGACTTCAGGTCAACTACTCATCTCAGCCTCCCAAAGTGCTGGCATTACAGGCATGAGCCAACATGCCAGGCCAATTCTGGTTGTTCTAAGCAATAGTTTGTGGTAGTTTACTACGGCAGTCCTAGGAAGCTAATATATCACTTAGATATCAATTTAAAATATTATAGTTAATAAAATTATCCAAGTAAAATAACAGTATAATGGGATTGGATTATAACACATAAAAGTAAATGTATGAGAACAATACCACAAGGTCTATAGGGGAGAAACGGAAGTATACTATTGCAAAGTTCTTGTACTGAATAGAATAGATTCTTTAAAAGTTCCATGTCCTTTCTGGAACCTCAGATTATGACCTTATTTAAAAATTGGATTATTGAAGTTTTAATTATTTAAGATAAGATGAGATCATATTAAAATAGAGTATAGCCTTAATGCTATATGATTGATGACTTTATAAGCAGAAAAGAGATACAAGGACAGACGTATTGGAAGAATGTGACATCAGAGAATGGAAGGATGCAGCTACAGAACAGGAAACAGCAAGCATCTAGGGCCATCACCAGAAGCTAGAAGGAAGAAAGGAAGGATTTAACCCAGAGTCTCAGAGGAAGCATAGCCCTACTGACAACTTGATTTTAGAATCCTAGCCCCTAGAAATGCAACAGAAGAAATTTCTATGTGTTAAGACAGTTTATGGTACTTTTGTTAGAAAGTCCCTAGGAAACGAAGTACAGTTCTTATACTAGATGTGAAACGATATATAATATCCTTGAAAGTAGACTGTGGTAAGTTAAAGATGCGTTCTATAAACTTTAAACCTCCCTCGGAAAAGAAAAGCATTTGATAAAAATTTAACGTTCATTCTTGTTAAAAAGCCCTCAGAAAACTAAGAATGGAACAAAAACATCCTCAGTCTAATAAAGGTCATACATGATAAACCTACTGCTTCCATCATGCTCAAGGGTGAAAGATTAAAAACTTTCCCCCTAGGATCAGAGACAAGTAAAATATGCCTGCTATTACCGCTTCTATATTTTTCTTCTTCAACTTCTATTTTAAGTTATTGTAATCAACATTATACTGGACAGTCTGGCCAGTGGCATAGGGCGATAAAAAAGCCTTACTTACATAATAAAGAAAGAATTGAAAATATCCTTATTCACAGACAATAAGATCATGTATGCAGAAAACTGATAAAAACTATATCAAAAAAGCTACTCAAACTAACAAGTGGGTTTAGCAACTTACCAAAGTTCATTGAGTTTCTTGGTTGTAGATACAAGATGAATATACACAGATTAGGTGCATTTCTATATACAAACATCAATTGGAAACTGAGGATCAAAAAAGAAAAAATATGTAAAATAGCACCATAATTTGAAATACTTAGGGATAAATATGAAAAAACATGTTAAAGATCTGTATATTGAAAACTACAAAATGTTGCTGAGAGAAATTTTAAAAGACCTAAGTAAATGGAGAAATATACCTCTTCATGGGGTATATATTAATATTAATATTAATAACAAATATACTTAATATTAAAGTCAATTCTTCTCAAACTGACTATAGGTTCAATATAGTACCAATCAAAATTATAACAGACTTTTTATAGAAATTGACAAGCTGATTCTAAAATTCACATAAAAATTTAAAGTACCTAGAATAGTCAAAATAAATTTGGAAAAAAAAGAGAAGTTGAAGAACAATCATTACTTGATTTCAGGACTTATCAAAAGGATACAGGAATCAAGAAGTTCCAGATATTGCCATTATGAAAAACAGTATGGAGATACCTCAAAAAATTAAAGATAGAACTACCATAAGCTCCAAAAATCCAACTTACGGTTATATAGCCTAATAAAATAAAATCAATGCCTTGAAGAGATATCTGCACCCACATTCACTGCAACATTATTAACAACAGCCAAGATATAGAAATAACCTAAATGTCCATTGACAGATGAATAGCTAAGGAAAATATTATATACACGCATACATATGCACACACACATACATACATATACATACAATTAAATATTATTCTGACATAAAAAGAAGGAAGTCTTGCCAGTTGCAACAACATGGATGAACCTGAACGACCTACGTTAGGTGAAATAAGCCAGACACAAAAGGACAAGTACTATATAATATAACTTATATTTGAAATCTTAAAAAGCAAAAGTCGGCCGGCGCGGTGGCTCACGCCTGTAATCCCAGCACTTTGGGAGGCCGGGGCGGGCGGATCACGAGGTCAGGAGATCGAGACCATACTGGCTAACACGGTGAAACCCCGTCTCTACTAAAAATACAAAAAATTAGCTGGGCGTGGTGGCGGGAGCCTGTAGTCGCAGCTGCTTGGGAGGCTGAGGCAGGAGAATGGCATGAACCTGGGAGGCGGAGCTTGCAGTGAGCCAAGATCGCGCCACTGCACTCCAGCCTGGGTGACAGAGCGAGACTCTGTCTAAAAAAAAAAAAAAAAAGCCAAAGTCAAACTTTCGTAGAAGCAGAGAGTATAACGGTGGTTGCCACGGGCTGGAAAGATATTGGTCAAAAGATACAAAGTTTCAGTTAGCTGGGATAAGTCTGGAGATCTACTATATAGCATGGTGACTATAGTTAATACTACTATAGTGCATGCCTGAAATTTGCTGAGAGTAGATTTTAAGTATTCTCACACACACGGTAACCATGTGAGGTAATGGATGTGTTAATTAACTTGATTGTGATAATCATTTCATTATATATATAATATATATATAATATATATACTGATTTCTGAAAAAAATGAAAGCCAATTCAGTGGAGAAAGAAGAGGTTTTTTCAATAAATCATGAATTTAATATGCACATGCAAAAAATTCAATTTAATTCATACATTACACCATGTAAAAATTAACAAAATTGACCAAATCTCTAAATATGAAAATATTAAAATAAAACCATTAAATTCTTAAAAAAAGAAAGAGAAAATCATGATAAACTTGGGTTAGCTATCACAAGCATAAAATATAAAAGGAAATAATTGATAAATTTTATTTTAACAAAATTAAAAACTTTTGCTCTTCAAAAGATACTTTTAAGAGATGGAAATGACAATCCATAGAGAGAGAAACAAAAATTTCAAAACAACTTTTTAAATATATATGAATAACTTTAAAAATTCAATCTTAAGAGATGACAACCTTTTTTTAAAGAATAAAAAATGTAAATGAACACCTCAGTAAAGAAGATATACTATCAGCAAATAAGCATATGAAAAAATGCTCAAAATCATTAATAATTTGGGAACTGCAAATTCAAATTATAATGAAATGTCACTACAAACCTATTAAAATGACTAATATTAAAAACACTGGCAAATATGTGGAGAAAATGAAATTCTCATACACGGCTCATGAGAATGTTACTCACCACACCTGCTTTGGAAAAAAGTTTGGCTTCTTCTCAAAAAGTTAAACCTATACCTACTTCATGAGCCAGCCATTCTCTTTTTTTTCTTTTTGGCATTTATTTACCCAAGAGAAAGAAACTATATGTCTATGCAAACTACACAAAAACTTACACACAAATGTTCATAGCAGCTTTACTTGTAAAAATTCAAACTGCAAAAAAAAAAAAAATGCCCAAAACAGGTAAAAGGATAAACAAACTCTAGTATATTCACATCATGGAATATATAACTCAATGATAAAAGGTAACGAACTACTAACACATACTACAAGATAGAGTTGCTAAGTGGAAAAAAAATACAAACAAGATGAATGCATACTCTAGTATGCCATTTATATGATATTCTAGAAGATGTAAACATTTATAACAATAGAAAACAGATAAGCAATTGCCTAGTTGGGAAGGGAGGAGGAAGAAGGGATTATAAGGAGCATAATGAAAACTTTAGTGGTGATCAATATGTTTACTCTCTGTTGTGGTGATGGTTTCATGGATGTACACATATGTCAAAACATTAAATTGTGTAATTGAAACATGAACACTATAATGTATGTCAATTATGCCTCAATTTTTAAAAGACTTTCTTTGTTATATCTATGTAAATCTGCATCTATATTCTCTAGGGTTGATTTGTTTATCTGGGCTATTGCCTGCTTCTTTATATGACCATATGTTCTCAGACTATATATTCAGTTGCCGAAAATAATTTCCTATTTGTAGTTGCATTCTTCTTCAACCAGTTATGAGTAGCTTCCTTCCTCAATCAGAGCTACTACTCATTCAAAATATTGTGCTCCTATCCAATACATGTACCTTAAATATTTGAATTGAGAATGTTATTGGACCCTTCAGTCTCTATTCTTGACTTCTATACCAGCTACTCTTGCCCATCAATGGAAATAAATTATTCATTCTAAGAGACAATCTGAGTAACAGAAAGAATATCACATCAGGCAGCCAAAATTCCACATTTCCTCAACTCAATTTATTAAGTGACTATGGACAGCCCTTTAACTGCTCTGATACTCAGTTGCCTATTGGAAAAATTAGGACATCAATTTCTGTTAGAACTATTGCAGATGCAGATGATTTGTTAGGAACACTTTCAGTTTAAACAGCCACAGCACTGTATATCACCAAAATTTAAAATTGAACTTTTTAATAAGTCAAAATCATACAAACAATTATTTTAGGAATAACTTAAAATAGACATCATAATTATGTGAAGGTCCATGGAAAATGCTTTCTATTTAGGAAACCTCTTTCTTTTATTAAAAGACTACAATTTCTCTTAATGTTTATTTTTGTGCTTCTTTCAGTGAAATTATATAGGAGACATATGCATTTTAATTTTTAATTTTTGTGGAATTTACATGCATTTTTAAAATATTGACTAAGAATTTTTCCCTGGTAATATTTCTAAAAATCACTATTCTGCCAAACACACACACACACATATTTAGCAAACATTTTCAGTTGATATCCATAGACTTTATAGCATTTTGGACAGCACAGGACCTTGGAGATCATGCTGTTTTAGGCTTCTCATTTTAATGTAGAGAAAAAGCCTGAATCCCAGAGGACTTAAATGACAAATCAGAGGCACTCTGCTATATGGCAGAATTTGGCGTGATGTCCTAATCTAGAGAGAATTCATAGAGCAATGAAAACCCCTATCTGTCCTGAAGACATGTTCAGATAAAGATATTTAATTCTCCTACCCTCTAAAACAAAAAAACTGCCTCACAGAAATGATCAAATTAGACTTGTTTCCATGGCCATATTTGACCATTCAATAGAGATTCATATTTGAAATATATGATCTATTGTTATATCTGACCAAAAATATCCTAAATGCATCTTTTCACTGTTGTCTTTTTAAATAGTTTAAATCCCATGCATTGGTATCTATGAGAACAGGGAGATATCACCCACATCAATCCAATACAGGCAGATAATCTTTTAAACTAATACCATACCATTGTATCCAATACTTTTTCATGTACTTCCTGGAAGCTATTAGTAATTACAGTATTTTATTCTGTCATATTGAAAAAAAAGCATTTAATACAAACACTAAATTTGTTAATGTGCTGTAAAATACTAGGAATGATAGCTAGTTCGATTTTTCCAAGATATACTCATATTTCTGATTAATGACTCTAACCTGACTAGTATTTAATGTCTTATGAGATGACCAGAGATAAAGTAATCATGTATAACCATTAATTGCTCTGTTGCTTTCAAGAAATAGAAAAACTCAAGTTACTGGGATCACTGCTTCTCATAAATTTTGTTAAGCCAAAATAGTCGTGCACAAATTCAGTACCTAATGCATGGTCAATTTTTTAAAACACAAATGGCACTTACTTCTTAATCCTTTAGATATACTACTGTCCATCAAATGTTGGGTAATCCAGCAGACATTTTGTCTTTATTTTTCTGTGCAAATGTAAATGCCACAAAGATTTCAGTATTTGCCTGAAAAGCAGAGCCTTGTCTGCTTCTGTCAAGTTCGACAACAGAAAATCTTTTGATATAGTGAAAAAGGGGAAATAGTCTCCTCCTAAATTGCTTTGAAGATATCTGCTCTATTATGCCTAATGTAATTTGTGATATTCACTGTGAGGTCCACTGCAATGAAACAACAACAACGTTGTTGAATTATTAAGCAAACGTGCCGCATGACAACTGTATTCTGAGCCTACAGAAAGCTTGGATTGCAAAATCATCTCAAACTTAAAAATAATCAACATAATTATCTTTTCAAAAGAATAAATAGATTTTGTTTTACTTTATTTTTTTAAGTTCAGGGGTCCATGTGCAGCTTTGTTACATAGGTAAACTCGTATCATGGGGGCTTGTTGTACATGTTTCACCACCCAGATATTAAGCCTAGTATCCATTAGTTATTTTTCCTGATCCTCTCCATCCTCCCACCCTCCAACCTCTGATAGGCCTCAGTGTGTGTTGTTCCCCTCTATGTATCCATGTGTTATTATCATTTAGCTCCCATTTATAAGTGAGAACATGTGATATTTGGTTTTCTGTTTCTGTGTTAGTTTGCTAAGAATAATGGCCTCCAGCTCTATTCAAGTTCCTGCAAAGGACATGACCTCGTTCTTTGCAATGGCTACAGAGTATTCCATGGTATATATGTACCACAAATTCTTTATTCAGTCTATCATTGATAAGCATGTAGGTTGATTTTATGTCTTTGCTCTTGTGAATAGTGCTGCAATGAATAATGCATGCATGTATCTTAATAATAGAATAATTTATATTCCTTTGGGTATATATACCCAGTAATGCAATTGCTGGGTCAAATGATATTTCTGTCTTTAGGTCTTTGTGGAATCACCACATTGTCTTCCACAACGGTTGAACTAATTTGCACTTATACCAATAGTGTGAAAGTGTTCCTTTCTATCCACAACCTTGCCAGCATCTATTATTTTTTGACTTTTTAATAACATCCATTCTGACTATTGTGTGATGGTATCTCATTTTGATTTTGATTTGCATTTATTGCTCTAATGATCCCTGATGTTGAGCTTTTTTTCATGATTGTTGGCCGCATGTATATCTTCTTTAGAAAAGTGTCTTTTTCATGCCATTTTCCCACATTTTATTGTTTTTTTTTCTTTTAAATTTGTTTGAGTTCCTTGTAAATGCTGGATATTAGACCTTTGTCAGATGCATAGTTTGCAAAACTTGTCTTCCCATTCTGTAGGTTATCTTTACAAGATTAAATATATTTTAGATTTACATAGTTTTACTAGTATACAAAAAAGATTTTGTCTTTTTGAAAAGCAATTATACCAATTTCCCAACTCAATTCCCACACTTAATTCTATAACATAGTATTCTATTTTTCTTCCACCACAGCAGAAAGACCTTTTCTCATGTCTTTTCTATTTAAAAGCTAAGATCAGTGAGAGCAGATATGTCTGGCTTAGTCACTTATGAATAAACAAGAAGACAAATGAAACCATGGAGCATGGCTAAATTGATGTTTTAGTAACATGCATTTTATTACAAAGCTAAACTAGACATAAATGTGTGTGCATGTGTGTGTATTTAATTATAAATCACACCTTCACTTTGTAGATGAGGAAATTAAAATACAAAAGCCTAGTGTGGTTAATTCTAGTTCATTCTGGTGTAAACGGTCGCCTTCTCAGTACCATTTCCATTAAGTATCTATTATGCAATCACCTCCCTAATCGTCACTAAGAACCTCAAAAAGAGGAATGAGCTTGGTTTCTTTTTTGCAGATTCAGAAATAGAAATTTGAAAGTAGTAATATATGAAGGGAACACAATCAATAAACAACAGAGAAATGAAGAACACATTTTACAGTGATAAAATGCTATTCATTCTCCAAACACTAGCATCATTCCTACTAATTGATGGAAACTTTTTGCAGAGTTCCAACACTGCATGAAATCCCATTATATTTGCTTTCTGTAGAACCAATATGACAATCATACCCTTTCTGCCACATATTGTTACTTAATATATTTCTTCAGAAACTGTAAGCTGCTTCAGGGTAGAAGCAATGAATTTTATTTACTGGAATATTACTCTCTCAACCCACTAGAATTTAAAACAATGCTAAGTTTGTAGTTGGCACTGAAGAAATTTTCATTGAATAAATTATTTAATAAATGGACTGCATTGGGTTGAGCTAGGCCAAAATTAAATACAAAATACCAGAATAGATTCAGTGGAAGAAGAGCTATTAAAAATGAGAAAAAGCTATATATTTTGCTGTTATGATTCAAACAAACTAAGCTAATTAATTATAATTAGGCAGAAAAGTCTATATCTACTCCAAACTCTATTTTCCTTCCTGTTTTAATTTTTCTTTATCAATACTATATAAATAAAAGCTCTGCCTCTTGACTTCAGCAAATTTATGGGTACGTTAATTTAATCCTCTCCATATTTCTAAAATTCACACTTGCACAATTCTCACAGAAAAAAACTTTTATACAAAGTTTCTTAAGAACTCATCTGCTTTAAGTTAAATATAAAAAAGCCCAAGGTATTAGACATAAAGTAAACTCCATCTCTATAAAAGAGCAAGACATGTTGATTTCTGCATTTCTTTGCACAGAAGAGTAATCTTGAATCAAAATACATGCGGGACCAAGGAGAATTTTTTCATCATCTCCCCCCCCAACCCCTTAAGTTACTGAATCTTATTGTAAGTCACTGGGCCTTATTTTGTTGTAGTCATAAGTCCATTTAAGAATCTATTGAAAATTATAGATTTTCTTCACAGCAAAATGCACCTACATACCCAAGTTTTGCTACAATTTGGAAGCATATTCTGATATCTCTGAAGCTCAAGTTAAGCTTCTTCCTTACTCCTTTGGAAAGCCATTCATTTGTAATTGCCAAATACGTGTGACTCAACGTGTTTCTGTCTGAGGCTGACTTGGTCTTATTTTGAAACTTTTCTTTGCTTTCCTTCCCTGTTCCTCCCTGGAAAGCCCTTCTTTAGCATTGCTTTAAGGCTGTATGTCTCTGTTCCCACTCGCCAAAATCCTTTCTTCCTTCCATCTTTACTCATGATACCACACACGACCCAGGTGCATAACTTCTTATTAACTATAACAAATAAATCATTTACCCTTGAAATGTCAATCTCTTATTAACCTTCATTTCCAGATAGTTACTGGTGAATGGACAAATGCCAACCATCAAAGGTCCCTGGGTTCAGAGTCCTAAAATATCCTGTGCAGCACAGCCAGTTTCCATTGACCACCCTTAATGTTCTGAAAGGGATATATATTGAATAACAAGGGCCCAACTATAGTAGAAAACATTCGAAATGGGAGAAAGAATCAGCTGTAGATTCTCCTAATTTCAGATTTTTTTTTCAAAATGGCAGGGTTTTCTTGAAGTCACTGAGAAAAACATTCATGCCTTTATATTACTGCTTTTTCCCTGCCAGCAAAATGAATCATGAAAGAAAATTAATTGCTGCACCATCAATGTCTAAACCCATCTGTTTTATTGCACTTATTTTACTATTGGAAAGCTCATATTTAAAAAAAGCTTATATTAAAACATAATGAAGATCTCCTGGTGTTAAAATGTTCCTGCGTTTGCTATGAAATAATTTGTCATTACTCTAAGATTAATTCGCTTAATTTCCCCAAACCTCTGCCTCTCAGATTAAAGGAAAATGATAGTTTGAGCTTTTAAAATATTATGCTTCAATTGTCTTCTATGTTAATTTTATTGATAAATAAACATGGGAATTTTCATGATGAGAAAAGAATCTTAATTCACTTATAGAGAGAAGTGAAACTGGAACTGGTTTCAAGAAGAGGAAAATTGGCATCATCCATCTCTTTATGTAAACTGCACAGAAAAATACATGGCCACTTTTGTTTTGGGACACTTAAGTTCTAGATGGATAGAATAATAACCGGAAAAAGACATTTGATATGTCCATTCAGCACTCTATTTTTCAGCTTCTTCATCTGCAAAGTGGAAATATTCGAGGATCTTCCCACTCAATGAGTAGTGTGCAGATTAGTACCTTAGGCATAACTTGAGTGCTGGGATTTCAGGTCCAGACCCTTCCAAGACTTGCAGATTCAGAATAGACCTTGATACAAGATCCACAGGAGATTTTAAGGTACATTCAAGTTTGCCAAGCACTAGTCAAGACGGTTTCACCAAGACTTAAGGGAAATTATACTTGAAAAAAAAAAAAAAAAAAAAAGGAAACCTTCCTCTGCATTTTTAAATCTTCCACCTAATTTCCTGAAGTAATTACAAACTTCATTGTCTGCTTACAGGAAAACACATGTGATCGCTTATGAGTTCCGTTGAGAAATCAAAGACACAGTTTTACAAACAAAATTTTATGTAAAAATGTAAAGAGGAAAAAATCTGTCCACTTGTTTTTTATGACAGGAGAAGATACAAATAGATTGACTTCCCCAGAAAGATCATAAGAAAAATTTGCGCCGGGTGCGGTGGCTCACGCCTGTAATCCCAGCACCTTGGGAGGCCGAGGCGGGCGGATCACGAGGTCAGGAGATCGAGACCATCCTGGCTAACACGGTGAAACCCCGTCTCTACTAAAAATACAAAAAATTAGCCGGGCGTGGTGGCAGGCGCCTGTAGTCCCAGCTACTCGGGAGGCTGAGGCAGGAGAATGGCGTGAACCCGGGAGGCAGAGGTTGCAGTGAGCCGAGATTGCGCCACTGCCTCCAGCCTGGGCGACAGAGCAAGACTCCGTCTGAAAAAAAAAAAAAAAAAAAAAAAAAAAAGAAAGAAAAATTTGCCTAAGAGCACAATGTTGAGAATAAGATACAGAAGCAATGAAGCAGAGCATTGACAGGTAACAAGAAAACAAGCACAGTATACGAAGAATGTTTATTGTAATGCCTGGGAATATGCAGCACTGGCGAGAATCTCAAAATTGATTTTCCTTTCTTCTGAGGCAATAGTGACTTGAGAAGATAAACAAACAAATAAAAAGGAAGAAAATATCCACAGTCTAAGTTGGACTAAGTACCAGAAACAGCACTACTTGGCAATTGTGTTGCAAGCATAATAATATAAGGACAATGTCTTTTGAAGGAAGAAATATTTTCCTTCCACTTGCTGACTCTCTGAAATGTCTATAGGGTTATAAAAGATGTTAATAATGGACCAGATGCATCTGAATTGGTCAGAGAAAATGTCCCACTACATGTAGCTTGGAAAATTATAGTTATCTTTCTGTCAGTATTTTAAATAGAAAAATTTAGTTGAATGCTGTGGTTTGGTTACTAATTCTTTAATATAAGTGTTTTTTCTTAATTCTTTAGCTATGTACAGCCTTTGGGCGTCTGAAAAAATAATATTTCCAGAAGCAACCAAAGTGAAAGAAAAAAGCATCCTTGCCAAAGCAAAGGAAAGGGATGCCTTCTATAGGCAATATTAATTTTCTCTGTCAACAAATATGTTTGTGGTAGATGGATACAAAATACCTTGTCCCAGGATTGCATGCAGATTTTTGCTTCCTTTGCCTAAGAAGTTTGGTAAATGTGTCATATATATATATATATATATATACACACACATATATACACACACACATACACACACATATCAGCAATCTGAGCAAATAAAAAACCTTGGAGAAAGTTCTAATAAAAGGAAAGTACAAAAGACTATCTCTGCTACATGTAGGTCAGGCTTTTCCCAAGTAGAGACATAAGCAGCACCTCAAAAATAGCAATGAAAATGTTTAAACTACATAAGAGATGTTTTGGGAATATGGACTGTGAATGTCTAACAAGCCTCTAACATCCCCAGGGCAATTGCTTAAAAAAAATCAATGCTTCATTTTCTAATAAGTTAGTAACTTTTTGGAAGTCTTTTTAAGAACTGGTACAGGTCGTTTGCATAAGTAGAGGATTCTAAGCAGTACGTCTAATAGAATGAACACCAGGGTTCTATAAGGAGGTTATTCTGAAGAGTGTTTAAAGGGCATAATAGTGAAAACTGCCTATGTTAGCCTCTTGGAAGAATGAAATGGGAACCATTTTACTCAAATAATTGGTATAGATCCTGGAAACCAATTATTGAAAATACATAAACATGAAACAACAATGCTTTCTTGTAAGCAGGAAATCTTCATTAAGTCTTTTGGCATTGATTACATTCACATGATTCATTCTGAACTCTTCTTAGTAATGTGAATTTAATGCATAATTTCTGTGTAATGACTTTTTTTAATTACCACATAATCACGGGTGAAAAAAGTGTCTTCCATTTGGTCCATTTTATGAGGTTAAGTAAATAAATCTATAAAATAATTTATTCTGCTAGTTGCTTGGAAACTGTATTGTTGATATGACAACCATGGCATAATAAATCAAATCACCACTTTCTTTCATTTGCATGTAGAAGTCATATATTTTCAAAAGAAAAGAAGTTGTCTTGCTTTTCCCTATGCTACAGTGACATCTACAGAAGGGAATGAAGAAAAATTGAGAGGAAAAATCTTTCTTGCTTTCTTTTTTAAGAATACTCTAACATAAAGTGCACTAAAACTCCCGGCTTTCAGAAATAGGTTCAATGTTTCCTATATAGAATATTTTATAAATATCTTTAAAATCTCAGAAGGCCTAATTTATAGAAGTTTGTAACTTGTGCTTCCTGGAGATCTAGGTAATAACAACTTTACAGATACATTTTGTCATGATAATTCCAAAAAGAAGTAATTATTGCCTTCATGAAGTTCAGTGAATACTTGTAGTTAGAGGATCAGCACTTGCAGTTACCTATAAATATTCATTTATCTTCCTAGCTTCTTTTAAAATGCTCCATCATACATTTTGCCACCCATTACTGTATATTGCTATAGGTGTTTTAAAATTTTTCTACCAATAATACAATTTTAACAAGTGAGTCTTTGTCCTTGGAAGTGGAAGATAATATGAGTTTCACACTAAGCATGCCAATAGTTGTATCAGATCAATTATAAATGGACATTTTATTTCTAATTCACCAAATATCCATCTCTTCTCTGACAACAGATTGACTTGAAAGAAAAAAAGATCTTAATTCCCATGTTCTAGTGTCCGTAAGTTATTCCACCTGCACCTCATTAAAAAGAACAAGAATAGAAATAATCCTCCTTTTTTTGTCAGGGTCACAATCACAATGGAGACTTTTAAGAGAAAAATGTCATTTTTAGTAGAAACTATTAAAACATCTCCCTTTCCCACAGGGCTTCAACGTGTTCCACAATGACAGATCTCAACATGACTTCTAAAAGGTAGTAAAGTTATGCAAAGCAGCATGACAGAGTTTTATATGCATGGAAGGGAATTATTCAAAGACGATGCCAGGGATACTTTCTCATTGACTGTATTTCATTTAAAAACCAAATCAAGGGGCAAGGGGATGATGCCATTATCATCATCAGCATCAGCAGCAGCAGCAGCATCATGTTATATATGGCAGGGAATGTAACTGCACGTTATGGCAGTGATTATTACTCTAAAAACAGAATAGGGTAGTGAGGAGGCTGGTAACTCTGGCATAATCAATTGAGAAATAAAAAAATTAGTTCAAGAAAACAAATTAAATTAATTCAACTGACACTTACAAAACACCTGCTATGTACTGAACTCTGGGTTCACTGGCAGAGGTACAAAGGAAAAAGAAAAAGGTGACGTTAAACATTAAAAGATATAAAAATTATTCTAAGACATGGTGATATCCTAGAGGACTCAGTGCAGATTTGTCCTAAAGAGAGAGAGAAAGAACATTTTTCCTCCACAAAAAAAAGCATTTTTTTTCTGTGCTTTGCATTTTGTATTTAGCTTTGTAGAAACACATGTAATTCTTAGGAACAGGTATGCTTCATGTTGTTTTATTATTTTAAATGTATAGAATTGGTATTTCTTAGAAAGGATATTGCTTCACCAAAGCAACATCCTTGGTTTTCTGTCCCTGGCATCACACATTTTAAAAGGGCAAGATTCAATATGTCAGAGGCTCTTTCTTTTGAAGAAAATCCCTTAATTCTGCCTTCATCTAAGAGGCAATGTGCTCATTTCAGTAAACCCTTCTGGAATATTCTGAACAATATAGAAAGAAGTCCCACTTTGACATGGGCTTACCACTGCACATTTAGCATTGGTCACAGCAAACATCCCAATGTTTGAAAGACAGTACTAATGAAACTATTAAACAAAGCAAGAATGACAGAATGTGAATAAGTATTGAAGCTGAGGATAAACACATGAGGGATCCATTTAACTATAGCATACATTAGACACTTAAAATTTCTAGAGGAATGTTAACTTCACAAAAATGACTAAGATTCTGATTCTATGATAATTGATCTACTTCACTATTCACTACAAAATTTAGAACATGTTTATAATTAACTTGTACCATTTCTTTTTCTAAGATCACTAGATATTAAATGCAAACTATAATTCTATATCCAGGTCACGCCTGAAAAAAGGAGCTGGTAAATCCTGTAGAAATTAGGAATTATCTGTGTGATTGAACTTCTTTTCCAATGACTATACAACATAACATAGAAAATGGGCTCTAGCACATAGCTGGGAGCATAGGTGTGAGGAAGGTCTAGAACTAGGATAATTCAATAGATAAGACCCCACAGGAAATAAACAAAATCAAAATTTTAAACTTGAAAACTTTCCAAAACCTACCCATACCTGCCTTTTCCCTATTGGCTGTATAGAGACTCCTTATTTCCTCACTTCTGTCTCTTCTTGCCTGACCTGCCAATTTTGCACCCCAGTTGATCAAGTTTTCTGACCTTTGAACTTGCCATTTCATTTCTAGTTTATGATCTTAACCTGAATCTTTGCTTCATGTTTAGATTTGCACTTCCATATGGGGAGTCCCTGGGACCTCCTTCTCTGAACTGCCTCCTCTTTCATTTCTCTGATGTAAGACCCTGCATTCTGGACTTGCTCCAGTCCTGGCCAAGAACACAGTGGTAGGGTTCTGACAAGTGGCATTATCTTTCCTGAGCACTGCATAAGTCAGAAATGTGAACTAATACTGGAGATCTGAGTTGTCTTCCTACCTCTGTCCCTGCACCTTATTAATTTATCTGGCAAGGTCAGAAAACCTCTCTGAATATCAGACCCTCACTTGTGACCCCCAAAAATCAATTTTACTATATTTTATACATATTCTAAGCATAAGAGAAGAGCTTTGAAAAAACACAAAAGTAAATATGAGTTAGCAACAATAGACATCACGTAGAAAGCCACTGTTGAACTCCTACAGAGTTTCTATCAGGTTTGTGGAACAGTCATGGCCTTTGACCTCACTTAGTTATTCTTCAGTTAGACAATTTAAATACATAAGTACAATGTGAGGGAGTGCAGTTATAACAAAACAATAGCATATTAAGGCATTCAGATACCATAGCTTGGATTCTGAAATTCATTCATACAGTTATCCAACAAACAGTTATTCAGTGCTGATGATCTGCCAGGAACTGTGTGCTAGGCATCTGGAATAAGCAGGTGAGCCTGACAGTCAGAGGCACTGCCTTCCTGGAGCTTGCTTTCTCGCACTGAGGAGTGGAAAACTGGCTGTGATAAAATGAACATCAGATGAATAACTTAAAGATAATCACTATGAAGGAAAATTATAAGAAGCTATAAGGCTAGAATAAGTGGACCTGATTTTGTCTGAGATAACCTACAAAGGCTTTCTAAGGAAAGTGACACTTTTGCTAAGATTTGAAAGGTGAGCAAGATTTAATTAGGTAGGGAGAATAATTGTAGACAAGCGATTTTCCTGGCAGGGGATATTAGCCTGTACAAACACATTGAAGGAACAATAGGCCTTTGAGGAACTTAAAGAAGACTGCTGTGGCTCGAACACCAAAGGCAAAGAGCGTGTCTCATGGTAACTACATATTCCCAGTTGCGATGGCTACAAAAATGATTGAGTGATCAAAGAATCACTGTTTGTGTATAACTTGTGATTGTCTGTATATAGTTACTAAATGTTTTTCATATCACTCCTATTCTAAAATTTAGCTATATATAGGTCAATTTATATCACCTAAAAACTTGTCTATGAGCAAAATAATTTATTTTCTCATTATGTTATTGATTTTCAAAATCACCTTGAAGTGACTGAAGAATATTTCACCTTGTTTATCACTTTATAATAAGTTACATGTTCTCTAGTTATCAGTACTCTACACTGTCCACTTATTTCCCACAGGCTCCTTGATTTATTGAAAAGACTTACAGCATTTTAGTTAGTGAAGTAAAATTTATCTTTTTGCAGACAAGTGACTCAATTATAATAGTAATGATAGTTTATTGGTTACTTTGTGTTTAGAACAGTGATGTTATCTGAGTACCTTTTTCAACCCAAAACTATAATCCACATTTTCCAAGAGCCTATTTGGTGCTCTTTCCAGCACACCATCCTTCTCTCTCCATCATTAACCATCATTGAATATTCACTTAGTATTAGTACAGCTGGACTACCTACAAGACCTAGATGTCAGAGATGGGTCAGAGTGGTGGGAAAAGCTATAAAAATTATAGGGAAAGATGCAAATGTTATTGGAAGGCCAAAAGGTTTTGCAAAAGCTTCAAAAGAGGATTTAGCTGAAGGCAGTTAAATTATCTTAAGAGCAAGGGTTAGATAACAAGGGAATGTAAAGGAACTTATCTAGATAAATTCATTTACTCCTGTCTCCAGAAACCAATCTTTGATCATTCATGCACAATATTGCTCTCTACTCGGGGGGTCAACAATGTTTATTACCCACAAATTGTGTTTGCTGTAAGCCTTTGTCATTCAATCTGTACTAAATAAATGCAAGCATCACCAGCTTATCGGGGCTGCACTCTCTTGGCAGCTGCTAGACTCTCTTGATGGTGGTGCGGAGCCGTGTGGTCTCCTAGCCGTGCTGTCAGGCAAAATAACCTGTGTCAGCATACTTCTTTCATCTGTCACTCAGCCAGAGTCTGCAGGAGAGACTCGGCACCTAGGAATTTATTTAGCGCCTACTTGTGTGAATTTCAAGTACAAAGTAGAGGCCCACAAGTATGGGGCTTATTCATGAGGGACATTCCTTGGGGCAGGGAAGCTGGCTATTTTGTTCTGCAGTTAGCAATACCAAACAGAGATGTTCTGAGACAAATAAAATGCATCCTCTGAAAAATAAAACTGAGCTGCACTATGGCTATGAGGATCCCAGGAGCCTTTCCAAGAAATATATTCTTATTGAAAAGACAAGAAAAAAATCATTATTGAGGACTGAATATTTATGCAGTAAATCTAACATTCATGTGTATTTCAAACTAGGTTTGCCACAGGAATTTAGGAGAACATAAGTCAAGGTGGATGATTCCTCCAAACAACTCCCGTCTCTCTAAGGAAAACAGAACTCTGGTTACAACTGGTGACATTATTTTTAATTTTAGTTTTAGTTTTGGTTGACAAGTAATAATTGTATATATCTGCTATGGTTTGAATGTCCCCTCCAAAACTCATTTTGAAATTTAATTGCCATTGTATAGAGAGGTGGGAACTTTAAGAAGTGATTAAGTCATGGGGACATTGCCCTCATAAATGGATTAAGGCCATTACTGTGGGAGTAAGTTAGGTATTCCAATTGATTTAGTTATGAACAGGATAAGTTTGGCGCAAATTTTGTCTGTGTTTCACACACTCTCACCCTCTGTCACCCTTCCACATCCTGTCATGTTTTCCACCATGTTATGATGCAGGAAATAAAGGCCCTCACCAGATGTAGCCCCTAGATCTTGAACTTCCCATCCTTCAGAATCACGTGCCAAATAAAACTCTTTGCTTTATAATTTAGCCAGTCTGTTGTGTTCACTTATGACAAAAAGTAAGACAATATTTTTGGGGTATAATGTTTTGAAGTGTGTATACATTGTTGAAAGACTAAAGCTAAGCATACCATCACCTACAAAATTATCATTTTTTTTGTAATGAGATTATTTTTGCTTTATGATATAAGGCAAAGATAGGAAGACAGTCAGTGCCTCTGATCTCTGTAACAAAAGAAAACAATATCCCACTTGACCTAGAAAGGGAGGGGCATATTTATTTGGCAAAAAATACACTTTTCATCGAGTAAAAATGTATCTTATATGTATTGCACAATGGCATGTCTGAAGCGTCATTTGTGCTTTAGATGTAATCATAAAATCGGAAATACAATTTCAACAAGACAGAACACCAAACATGAAGCATTTTCTGTTTCAACTATATGACACACTCTAGAAAGAAGATGAAAATGGACTATAAAATTGTCATTACACCTACAAGAAGCACTTGAAGGGAGAGAAGGTGTTTTTTTTTCTTTCTTAAAGCAGGTGATGTGCCCTAACACTGTAGATTTAACTGACAAGTAAACAATTTACTTTCCTTTTCTGTGCTAATTAACTACACGTCAACTAAAAACTAGCTATTTATTTATTTATTTGTTTGTTTATTTATTTTGGAGATGGAGTCTCGCTCTGTAGCCCAGTCTGAAGTGCAGTGGTGTGATCTCGGCTCACTGCAACCTCCGCCTCCTGGGTCCCGGTTCAAGCAATTCTCCTGACTCAGCCTCCCAAGTAGCTGGGATTAAAGGCATGCACCACCATGCCCAGCTAATTTTTGTACTTTTAGTAGAGAAGGGATTTCACCATGTTGGCCAGGCTGGTCTTTAACTCCTGACCTTGTGATCCGCCAGCCTCAGCCTCCCAAAGTGCTGGGATTACAGGTGTGAGCCACTGCACCCAGCCAAAAACTAGTTATTTTAATGAAGTTCTTCCTAAATCTCATGCTTACTGAATCACCTATATAATGCCTATTCTATGATCCCATTTGCATTTTTTCAAACATACCATACTACACATACTTCTATTCATTCATTCATTTTTCAACCAATATATTAGAATAGCATTCAGTAGGCAGTAGAGACACAGTTCTCATAGAGCTTAGAATCTAGAGTAGAATTTCAAAGAGAATTCTATCTAGAGATATCAAATTAATTAAGTAATCATGCAAATACATGTCAAATTGCATCTATGGCAAGCATTTCTAAGCATTAAAATGAAAGATTTTGAGAAAAGAGATTGACTTTCTCAATGAGGCAAGGAGAAATCTTCAGCTTGTACAAGGGCAGAGGATGAAACATTTCTGGCAGAAGAAAACATCCAGTACAGACACCCGAAGAAGGGAAAACTAAGGGAAATTATGAAAGATGGAGAAGTCAGAAAGGTTGAAAAGAAATGAGGCAAGGTGAGTTTAGTCACAGAAGAGAATGGAGAAGATAGTAGGAGACCAAACTGTTTTGTAAGCCATGTTAACAGAATGAATTTACCCTATGAGAAGCAAGGAAATGATCAGATTTTCACTTTCAAAACTTATCTCCATATACACTATAAATTATACGTAGAACAGAATAGATGCAAGATGAACAACTGTGGCTTGGAGTAGTATGGTTCTTCCCATGATGAAAGAATGGAAACTTTAATGAAATTGTATTCTGGTGGCTTAAAAATTTCTGTATCATATTACTCTCAACTAGTAAACTGTGAACTTCTAGGAATTCTTGAAATTTTTCTCAGCCACCACCAGCTTCCCATCTCCATATCTGCATACATTGGAACTCTCAGCCCAAACAGCTGGCTGCTTTGAGCAGAAATTTTTCTCCTGCTGTTCCCCTTAGATAATCTCAGCTAAAATCATGTAATTCAAACTGGGGATTCTATGACTGCTTTTGTCCACTTTGTAATTTTGCTGTCAGATCTTTTTCATTAAGTGTCCTTAATTCTTCAAGTGAACTGAAATTAAATCATTCTTACATGAAAAGGTGTGGAAATGTGCTTGAAACAATCACCAAATCTGCTTTTACTAATTTCCAAATACTTACTGCTATACATACTAATATACATTCATTTAAAAGTTCTAACCAGTCAAAAGAAAAATGAGAAAAATAAGCATAATAGATAATGTGATAAAAGTGAAGTGATAGGCCAGGCATGGTGGCTCATGCCTATAATCCCAGCACTTTGGGAGGCCGAGGTGGGTGGATCACGAGGTCAGGAGTTTGAGACCATCCTGGCTAACATGATGAAACCCCGTCTCTAATAAAAATACAAAAATTAGCTGGGCGTGGTGGTGTGTGCCTGTAATCTCAGCTGCTTGGGAGTCTGAGGCAGGAGAACCACTTGAACCTGGGAGGCGGAGGTTGCAGTGATCTGAGATTGTGCCACTGCACTCCAGCCTGGCAACAGAGCTAGATGCTGTCTAAAAAAAAAAAAAGTAAAGTGATAAAAGTAGTGGTTGGTTTGCTGTGGGACACTTTAAAATATTCTTTTATAGCAAAATAAAACATAGTCAACTCTTTGTCAGTCCCCTATTACAGGGATTTTAATGTTTTCCTCCTAAGTTTAAATGCCTAGAAGTCACTGTTTCAGCCCAACTAGTTGTCTCATAAGGTTAGTCGGTAACTTAGGAATACACAACTTTAAAAATGTTGCTTAACCCAAATTTTGTTCTTAAACTGTTACTGGAAAATATAAAAAAGAAAGAGAGAGTTGAGTTTCATTATTTGTTAAAATTAGCAAAATTTTATTTGTAGAGCTTCTTGGCCCTGAAATAACTGCAAATTTCCAAAGTTAGTCCTCACTCTGTATCCCTATCTGGTTCTGTGGCCTTAGACAGGCAGAGATCCATGGTGTCCCCATGGGAATGCTGGCCCTTCTATATCAAAGAAGCATCATACAGAATAAAAGGTCCCTCAATGTGCCTCTCGGAAAGTCTGCATGTTGGTTGACTCTTAGGCAAAAACCATCTTGTAATGCATGTGATTTGAATTTCCAGTGTCACCAATTATTTTTCTCTAGTTCCATTTACTTGGCATTCCAATGTTTCCAGTGTAGGTATGAAAAAAATAAGAACAATTAATTTTTACTGTCCCATACTGATCGTAGACTTTTCTCCTGGGGAACTGTGTTTGTTCTTGTCATCTGTGTGATATGTAAGTGCAAAATTTTCTTAAAGTGGTACCATGGAAAATAATAGGTTACCCTTTTCTATGAGCTTTATTTGCTTATTTTCCTTGTTCAAAAATACATATTTTAATTTTAATAATTTTAATAATTTATAGCACATAATTTATTAAATATTTAAGTATCATTATGTATTTATGTATATATTTATATCTATATTAACACATGCCAAATATACCCACAAAGGCAGATTCTAGCAGTACAAAATTACCCCCACCTTCTCCCAGCAAAAAGTGAATGCTAAACAATGTTCCTGTCACTAGAGAGTCCAACAAAAAAATTTATTATATTTCTATGAGTTACAATTGTCATTAAGATCAAACCATTAGCATGTAGAATTTACAAGCTGTATATGTTTTTATGTGAGATAAACTATCTCACCAGAATATTTCAAATGCATACACTCTTGAACAATGTTTTGTAATTCATTTACTGAGGAAATCACAGCTCAGATGCAGCATCTGGTTTTCAGTGAGTTCTGGCGTTTTCCCCATTTTTCCATCTGGATTGACTGAGGTACAAGTCAATCAAGTGTGGAGCCATAGGTCTCACAGCAAGATAGAATCTGGTCCAGGAATAAAGTCCAAGAGTTCTCCTTGCAAGCACTGTAGACATAAGTCTTCTTTATATAGAAATATTATTTTATTAATTCTATTTTTAAGGCATAGATGACTGCAATCCTGCTACTGTTAAAGTTGTGCATTTGACTAAAGATTGCAGTCATAATAGCCATCATTTTAGAGCATCTGTTACACCACGCATCCAAGTTAGCAGTTTTAATATTCACCAGCATGGCTTTATTTGGTAAGCATACGTGCTGTTTGGAAGAACTTGCTATGTAATCTAACACTAAAAAAGAGTGACCAGCAAAATATATTCTTCACAAATCAAAAAGCACAGGATTTTGAGAAAGATCGCTTAAACTTAAGACCCAATTTTGCCACTACCTTGCTCTGTGACCTGAGCAGGATCTTGAACCCCTCCAGGTTTGTTCAACATTGATAAAATCGGTAAAAATAATACTCCATAAATACTGCATAAATAAAGTAGTTTTATCGGAGAATAAAATTTAGATGGTAGTGTGTTAATATGAAAATATTTTAAATATCATATGCAGATAATGACATTCATTAGACTGGATTAACTTTATGATGTTGCTGAAAATAGATTAGATAAAAAAATCATTGGCCAGTGATTGTAACAAGTTGTTACCTGGATGGTTACATGTGGGGTTAGTATTAGGCCAAGAATATATGCATTAAAAATTCAGTGTGTATGGTGCTTTTTTTATGCATCTGTGGCAGAGAAAGCATTGCACACCAGACAGTTTACAGGTTTTCCTGCATGTCCTAGTCTTCTTGCATTTAGATGGGCCTTTGAGATGAGTTCTGCAAAAAGGGCTTTCGGTAGACATAGCCTTTGACATTTCTAGATGGAAGCATTTAAGATCTGGAACTTCATGTTTCAGGAATGTTTTCCCTTTCTATACTGGTTACCTATTGTTACATTAAAAATTACCCCAAAATTTAGCAACTTAAAATAACACACATTATCTCTCAGTTTCTGTAGGTGATTAATCGCCCTGAAACTGGGTCCTCTACTTCAGAGTCTTTCAAAAGGCTGCAATAAAGGTGTCAGATGGGGCTGGCATCTCATCTAAAAGTTCAACTGGTAGTGGATTTACTTCTTGTACACTTACATTGTTGTTGGCTAGGTTCAGTTTCTTCAGGGTTATTGCACAGAGAGTCTCAGATCCTTGTTGGCCATTAGCTAGAGGCCACCCTCAGTTTCTTGTTGCATCAAACTTTCAACATAACGGCTTCCTTCATCAAAACCAATAAGGGAGGAAGTTGGCCAATAAGACTGAAGCCACAGCATTTTGCAACCCAAGAACAAACATGGCCTTCAATGTTGTAGTCTGTAGGTTAGAGGCAAGTTAATTGAGGGAAGGGAATTGCTAAGGCCATGAGTACCAGGCAATGAATTTTCTAGTGGACTACCTTAGAAGCTGCCTGCAACATCCACCAAAAAGTTTGTCTAAAAGATGAAATAATCACTGTCAGTTTGACTCCTGAATGACCATGTGGAGCAGAGCCTCCACTCACCTGTGCTGGATACATAGCACAGAGATGTTAGAGCTATGTTGTCATCATGACTAATATAACATGTATTCAATTTGAACCTTACAGCAAGGATCATTAAATTAGGCAGGAAACTATTCCAAAATACAGCTAAGAGACTAAATTCATAGAGATGAGGTAATTTATTCCAAGGTAATAAATTAAGTCATAGCAAAATGCATATTCAGGATGTGAGCTTAAAACTAGCATCATTTTCTTCTTTACTTTTCTCTAATAATGTGTTTGTTAGAATTCCTCTCTCCCCACTATACTGCCACTATGGTTATTTTAAATAGTTTTTAAAAGACATATAGCATTTTTGTTATCTTTCAGAAAATTCCTCTCTTGGCTGTGCTTGCCTAAATAATGAAATGCAAATTTACAGTACAAAGTAATTGTTTTGTAATTCTTTTTCTGATTTGCCCAAGAAAAGTTAGTTGGTGTATCCTCTCCATAGTCCGGAAGTCCATGGCCTATGGGCTTCCACCTTATATCTCTTAACCTTATATACCTCTTAACACCTAATATTACTGAGATAGATCTTTGTTTATATCTTCTTTTCATCTGGATACTAAACCCCTTGTAATCAGAGGACCTAACTCCTCTTTGTATTCCCAGAAAAAAAAACATAATTCATAAAATGCTGTTTAATCAATACAATATATGGAATACTATAACTTGGATATTTTGGAAATTACATATCAAGTTCAAACATCAGAATGCACCTTTAACTAAATTTGAAAATAACAACCTGTGTTGTTAGATCAATCCATGGGGAAAGTAAAAGCTACTTGAGAAACTAGGAAAGATCAAAATAAGTTTTGTTCACTGAAATTTCCTATTGAAGTGCCCCAGTATTTAGTGGATTTCATATAAAGTGTTCAGATTTCTTTTCCTGTCAGATGAACCCCCCAATAAAATTGTATTGCTCCTGTAGGATTTAAAAATTTTTACTTGCTGATAGTAATAATGATAATGGCACCACAACCTGACATTTATTCAGCACCTACCATGTGCTAGGCATTGTTCTAAGACTATAAAATGTGTTATTTCATTTAATCCCTACTAAATATATGAAGTAACATTGTTTACTCCCCTTTATCTCTGGCTTAGAAAAATGAAGAAAATTGCTCAAGGTCAGACTGCTGGTAAAGGCTGAGCAGCACCCTGAGCCGACGGTGTTTGACAGTAAAATCAATGTTCTTAATCCCATTCTGTATGGTCACCACTGCAACATGCAGACCCACCTCCACCCATGCATGTTCCTTCTTTCTGATCCAACCTCTGCATTGAATCAGCAATTCTACCTAACCTAAATAGATTTTTCACGCTTAAACTTAAGCTACATATTCTAAAACAATGTAGTAAAGTATATAAAATTATGATTCTCCAGAATATTCCAAGATTAAAATTTTCATCCCTGATCTTTCTCTCAAGCCACTATCCTAAGCAAGCCCATGTCTTAGTCTGTCTGTGCTACTGTAACTTCACATACCACAAACTATGTAATTTATAAAGAGCAGGAATTTATTTCTCATAGTTCTGAAGGCTAAGAAGTCCAAGATCAAGGTGCTGGCAACTGCCGAGGACTGTTCTCTGCTTCCAGGATGCTGCTTTGAAATTCTTCGTCCTCACATGGCAGAAAGTAGAATCTGCCAGAGCCTTGATCTTGGAGTTCCTGTCCTCCAGACCTGTGAGAAATAAATTTCTGTTATTTATAAGCTACCCAGTTTTTGGTATTTTGTTATAGCAGCCCAAATGGACTAAGACAGCTGTGTTAATCAATACAAACACATTTCCTTCCTAACCATATTTTTTTTTCTCAGGTATTCCTGTTGTGGCTAGGCAGAGGGCTAAATGAGTAAAACTGACCTATTGTGGCACTTGAGGGTTATTATTCACCCTCAGTGAGAAAGTAAATTTGCCTCGTAGGGCTAATCTGGTATGTTAATCTGTTTTCAAGCAGAATCAGAGCAGTAAGAATATTCAATGGCCACCAGCTGGCAGGTAAGAGTTTATCCTGCCCTTAAAACTTCCAGCTAAAGAAATCATTTGTGTCCTTCAATATCCTTTAAGGTAAAAATGCTACTTACCTAACTGGCTAAATTTTGAACCCATGACTTCCTTTTCAATGTTAAGCATTTTAGCAAAAGTGTAATTTTATGTTCACAATTCCAATGTAACATTCTTTCATAAATGATATAAAAATGTAATAATAAAAGCAACAAGCAATAATAATGGCTAATATGTAATGAGTGTTTATTGTTTGCCAGGAACCATACAAAGGACTTTACATGTATTATCTAATTTAATCTTCATAATGTATTCTTACGATAGGCAACCTTACTAGCCCAGTTTTTCAGACAGAGGAATCCAAGCTGAGGGAAGTTAGATAACTTGCCCAAAACAAAAAAATACAGCTCATGGACAAAATTACGATCCAATCACTGGCTCTCAGATTCCAGTCCCCAGTACTAAGTTGCTGTGCACTACCCCTTTTCAAATAAAATATACACTTAAATGTCATGACATTTCCAAAAATATTAGAGCCAGACTAATTTTGTGAACTCAGAGATCTCATGTTAGAAAGAGATTAGAGATCTCCTAATTGGCCTCCTGCCTTCTCTGTTGCACATCTATAGTTATTGGCAACCAGAAGCCAGAATTATGCCTTCACACATAAGCCTGATCATGTCAGTCCTTTGGTTCAAATACTCTCACTTCTTCTTCAGAGTAAAAGTCAAAGTCCTTACAATGTCATACAAAGCTTTGTGCAGGCTGCTGCCCACCTCCTACACTCTAATCTCATCTTCTACCTCCCCTCTCCTTCACTCCACAGAGAAATACTGGCCTCTTTGTTGTCCAGAGAACATTGTCCTTCCTCAGGTTGAATTTACTGTTCCCTCCTTGTGATCACCTGATTTGATATTTCAACTTTTTGAGGCTTTTGCTCAAATATGACTTTCTCAATGAGACCTTCTCTGACCCTCTGTTTAAATTATAACCCACCTATGACTTTTCTTGGCACTCACCGTACCCTTTATTGGATTTCACTTATTATCTATCTCTCTCCACAATAACTAAGATCTGTGAGAGAAAAGATTTTGTGTATTTTGTTTGCTGTTAAATCTGTAGTGCCTTGAACAGTGGCACATAGTAGGTGTTACATAAATACTTGAAGACATAGAGGAGAAAAGGTGAGCGAATGGTGCTAATAAGGCTAAAATGCACACCATAATACCACTACTGACTATATCCTATTAGCAAACTGAGAAACCGATATAAATTTGAACTGCAAATTGGAAATTTAATCTACAAATCTATGCAAAAATGAACAGAGACTAAGCTCAAAGTAATTTTAAATAAAAAGGGCAGGAAGATCTCACAAACCCACATTTTTAATTATTAACAGGACAAATTGAAAGTTTACACAAGAATAAAGATACAAGATGAGCCACACAGATACCTCAAATATGAAGTGCTGCAAAAAGAGTAACTAATAAAGTTACTAACACAAAATGTCATATTCAGAAAAATCAAGATTACAATGTCCTGGCTTCATTATTCCTGTCAACTGAGAAGTATAGGAAATGAAGTAAAATGTAACCAGTGACACCAATGAACAGAGTGACAAGAAGACAGAGGAATAATAATAGCTCCACAGTAATGACTCATGCACATTTTAATTCATCTTTGCTTTTTACCAGTTTCACATTAAAACCTGATGGAGAAAAATGAGGCAGTAAAGTGAAGCCACACAAGACCTTTAGGAGCTTTTAATATGAACATCAGAGAAATCAAGTCAGAAAGAAAAGAGTGATCCTTAAAGAATTTTGAACAGTCATTAATTCCTCACAGTGCCAGAACTGGCAAGGAAGGCAAACAAAAAAAGTGACCTGGGGTTGTGAAAAGATTTTTGAAGGAGCTTCATTTTCCCAAACACTCATAGATTTGCTTTTGAACTATCTTTCCTTGGCATCCAAACTAGCCAAACTTTGTGAACTCAGCTCTCTCACCAGATGGAGTGTTCTTAAGTTCCTCTCTAATACTATCTTCTCCAAGTGTAGTTTAAAAAGGCAAATAAATAAATAAATAAAGCAAAAGCTCAGCAGAGGGAACCATTCTTTTTATTTTGGCAGTGATACGCAGCTCCTTGGCAGGCAGCACTGTTAGTTAACATTGTTAGCACTTTGGAATTGTCTGACTTTTGTCATGTGTTTAAGCTGATTAGCCCCCTGGGTGACTTTGGCTTCCAAGGCAGCATTTCTTTTGACAGCTTGCTGAGGGTACAGATGTCTGGACAACAGATAAAGTTCTTAACCCTTATTTCTCATTTGGTTTCCCCTCAACTATTTTAATAGTGCCTGCAGACTTACAAACAGAAGGCGGTGGTTTATAAGGTTTTAAGATGTTCACTTAGGGGCTAACTCACTATCGGCTATGGCAAATTTACATCAGGAGCAGCACTTGTGACTCCTCCTTCACTCTCTAACTCCTTTCACATGTTGAACTTTGTAGATTGTATCTTTGCAATCTTAAATTAGCTAGAGCCATTTCATTTTCATTGCGACTATCCTTTCCCCAGTTCTATTATTAATGCCTAAGAATGAAACAAGCTTTCTACCTCATTCCTTATGATAGGATCTCATTTTCAGTTTTATATTACATTATTTCCTTCGATATGGCCAGTGCTCCATCCAAACTAAAATACTTTTTACTTCCTGGTTATGCACATGAATTCCAAGCTCTGTGCCTTTGTTCATGATCTATCCTCCTGATATATTTTTACCTAATCCATTATTCAAAATCAATGTTCTAGCCGCTATTTTTTGAGAGACCATAGATAATTTGGGGTTCTAGTATCAGAGCAGCTAGCAATCCAAAAATGAAGGGGAGCTAGACACGGGTGTTTTTGGTGTGCTTTTCACTGGATAGATACTCCATTTACCTGGCAGATAGCCTAATGCCCAATTAGTTGTCTGGCCTGTGATCCAGAGCCCCTCATACAGAAAACTTGTTTATACTGTCAGATGCCCTTGTAGCTCCTATCTGACCCATGTCCAGTTTACACATGCCTGACCATTTCTCTGGCATTGCAAGCCCAACCTGCTATTCTCTCTGGCATCCTGGGTGAAAATCTTGCCCTGGGACAGCCCCTAGTCCCTGAGATGGAAGGCACAAATGCCATATAGTACCACAATAGTAAACAAGTTCAAAGATTTTTACCTATAGATCTGGGCCAGAAGAGTGAAATGAGCGCAGTTCTTTATCTCTGGGTCGCATGAGGTCAGAATGAATAGTTAGGCAGAGAAAGAGAGACGAGCACGTGGCAACTAGCAGTACATATAAGGAAATATGGTGTGGGTCACTTCTAGTTCACAGGCAAATTCCTGAATTGTCCATTTAAAGGAAGCAGTGAGAAGGCCAGAAGCCTAGTCTGCCAGGCAGGAGAGATGCCTCTGAGGTTTTACCTCTGACCACTTGCATTAGCCATTTGCATGTGGTATAGAACTAGAAGCTGTGTCAAGGGTGACTGAGCCCTAAATCTGGTATGAGAAAGGTAAACTCTTATTCAAAGTGGATACTGAGGTAACATAAAATTATGAGAATTCACTGAGTACTACTAGTCACTGTGATATATCTGATTAACCTTAATGATTCTACCATTTTTAACAAATAACGCTTAGGTGTGTTTTTCAAACACCTTAAATTATTTCAAAAATATAGTCTCCATAAAATCAACCTTATACTCTGCTAACAAAATTCATCTTCCTGGAAAACAAATGCTGATTGTCTATAGAATCATTCAAATAGGCTATATTAAACTCCTTTTTTCCATAATTCTCGTGGTGGCTTTGTTTTCCTGATTGAGCGATGGCTGATACAATATGCAAATTTAAAAGCACATGTTCTTTGATCCTATTATTTTTCTTCTTGTATTCCTTGTATCTATTATAAACAATATTAACCCACATACATGAAGAAAATGAATAGCATTGATCAGTGTTTCATTGTAATAGGACAAACAAGATAACATTGAAATATCCATCAATGAGGTGGTACTATGCAACAATAAAAAATATGTCTACATCTATCAGCGATATTGAAAGTCTATGGGTCTACATCAGTCAATGACATTGAAAGTCTGTCAATATATGTTGTAAGTGAGAAATAGCAAATTTCCAAAAATACATACAGTGTGCGAAACAACACATAATAAAAACAAATGCATTGAAAAAAGTCTAGAAGAACTTTCTGTAAATTGTTACTCCTTGAGAAGGATGTGTGTTTGAGTGATGGGATGAAATAACTCTTTCTTTTTACTCACTTTACCAATGTATTGTTTAGCTTTTTTTCAGAGAGAATGCATTCACATGCTATACACTTATTTTAAACAACATATAGAATGGCAAATATTGATCTCATAGTGGATTGCATAATGGTGACCTGATGTGTTACTGTTTATGTTTGTTTATCTTTAGCTTCATAACCACATCACAGCAAACAGCTTGACGAATCTGTTAGAATACTAATGTAATTTTTAAAAGCACTGTCAAAAATAGAAAGGTCTTCTCAAGCAGTGTTGATCAGAGTCCTGAACAGGATATAATCTTCAATTTAGGGTATCATATTTCATGAGAGAAATTAATAACGACTGTGGCTCTGGAGTATAATCAGGGTATAGAATCCATGTGATATTAAGCACTTTAAACACTGAGGATATTCACAATGAACCAGAAAAGAATATGTCATTTAGGAAGATGTTAGCTTGAAAGCAGCAGACTGCTTGCTTAAAAAAAAACGTCTAATATAACAAGATAGCCCGTGGTAAGCACTTTCAGGGTAACTCAGCCAGCTCTCTATGATTATCTTATATTTTCCTCTCATAATTGCAAAATGACCTCGAGAATCATATGCTTTCATGGAAATACCAAAGGCTGAGATGAAGGGTGGGAAAGATCATTTATCCTGCATCACTGGTTAGGTGTCATCAAGCATAACTTCCACGTGTCTACTTGTCAGTCGCGGTGGAGAGAGAAAATGGCCACACGGCGACACCATATGAACTAATAACCTCTAAAAGCCATTCCAACTCTAAGAGTATCTCCACAAATGAGCCTAATCCACACAAGAAGCAACAATCAAGCACCGTTAGAGAAGTAGAGTACAACCAAATTAAAAACAAAAATTAAAGTCCAAAACTTAAAGTCAGGTTATCTAGCTGGTTTAAAAAAAAAATAAAAGCAGGTTGTGTACAGGTTGTGTACAGTCATGGAATCAAAATATTATACCTATTTACTAAGCCACCTGTAATACCAGTGGTGTTTTATTCAAGGTAGAGAAAACATCAGTCATTTCATATGGTTGCAAATGTCACTTGGAAAAAGAAAATTGCTGAGGACTTTCCATGTAAGTTTTTTGATATGCCAATCTAAATGTACTGTTATTACAACCTGAGATATAAAATATGTCCTCATAGGAAAAAAAAATTTCTATGTGTTTTGTAAGAACACTTACCCTAAAAAATGGTAAATGTATAATGCAGTATTGCTAACTATTGTTACAATGCTGTACGGCAGATTGCTGGAACAAATTCATCTTGCTATTATTTTAAATTATAATCTTTAACATTCAGTACCATATTCTCAGATTCTGTTGTTTCTCTATGTGCTCAGTCAACTCCTTTCTGTCATCATTATCTACTAAGTCGCCTCACTATATGGAGCACTTCATTATTTTCAATTCATATCCACTGAGAAGATGGATTTAGGAGCCAGGTAGTGATTATACCAGAGTAATTTATAAAGGTCTTCTTAGAATTTGTCCATCTTGCATGTGCTAGTGACCAGCCCACTGAGTTCTACATTACTCACTATTATTAAACCTGCAGGGATGTTTCACAAGGCTTCAGCCTTAATAACAATAAAAAGGCAAATGGAGGCACCTATTTATTACACCTCAACATCTAGTTTATTTACTAAGCAATAAGTACTGGCCATTACATTGACTCACTATCCTTCAGTTTACCAAACCCCCAAGACTATCTAATCATTTCTTCATTATTTGCTTATTAATTTTAAATGTAATCATTAGATTTGTGCTGCACTATTACCACTACTTAAATCTAAAATGTTGTGTTTATTTATTTTCATTCTTTCTATTGACGTATGCATTATCTATCACCTGTAAATTAACATGCACTTTCTAACACATTCTTTATGAAGTGACCAGCTTTCTGATTTAATAAAAAAAACCACATCTGTCCCTCAGACATTAACAGTAATCAACAGCTAGCCTATGACAATTAGTTTGACTTAAATGAAGTGTCTGAGTGATATATGGAGGAGAATATGTCGTGATGAAAACCATTTCTTCTATACCTAATTTAAAGCCTGCTAACAAAGTATGCTTCATATTATAATTTTAATTATATTTTTAAATTAAATGGATTTTATTCATTTTTACAGCCTTTATCCAAAATGCTATATTGTTGAATATATCTTTATTCTTGAGTTTTCATTATGAAGTGAAGATTGGGTTCATGGCGTGCAATAATTTCTGACACCAACCACCCAGAAACAGGTCAAATTCTACAGGTTAAGAGAACAATCTTCCACGTTGCCCTTATTTCAGACACCAGATGCAAGTTTTGGGGTCCCCAAGCCATTTTCACTTGTAATCTGTCAGCTACAAATTCAGGGGTTCCCACTACCCCCTTAGTTTCAATAATTCACTAGAACAACACAGAGAACTCAATAAAACATAATACTTAACTATTAAGGTTATACTATTGCAAAAGGATAGAAATCAGAACAAAGTACAGGGAGACATGCATAGAGTGAGGTCTTAGACGGTTTTAAACACAAAGCTTTTATTGTCTCCAGAGATGCATTAACCATTTGGCACATGAAGTGTGACAATATGCAGAGTATTGCCATCCAAGGAAGTTCACCTGAGCTTGGTGTTCAGATTTTTATTGGGATTTTATTACATAAGCATAATTGATTGAATCATTGGCCACCTGGTTGAACTCAACCTCCTACCACCCTAACTCTCCCCAGATGTTAGGCTGGTAGCATGTGGCTCAAAGTCTCAACTCTCTAATCACGTGGTTGGGCTTTCTAGTATGGACAGTTCTTATCCGACTTCTTCTCAATCACATAAACTATCTAGGAGTCCACCCTGAGTTATCTAATTGCCTAAACTATTAGGGGTTGTTCAGAAAGCACACCAGGAATAACAAAGACATTCCTATCACTAAGAAAATTCTAAGAATCTAGAAATTACTGCTCAACTGGGAACAAAATCCAGCAAAATTTTTTATTACAAGGGTTTGGAGGTTACTTCTCAGAAACCAGAGACAAAGTCCAGCCAAATTCTTGACAAGAAAGGGCAAAGAATTAAATACATATGTAGAGATTTTGTTATGCACATATTTCTCTATTTTACATGAAATTCAAAATTTCTTAGACTCATAGAGGAAAGTGTCCTCATAGTACACTAAATGTAGTAAAATAGACTTGATGTTCAACACTCATCACTTTTTCTTATATCACCCATTTCCCAGTAGTCAATAGCTCAGTTTGAAGTCATCCTCACTGGGTTAACAAAAATTCTGGACAGAAATATAGTTATACTTAACCATCATCAGCCTGCATTTTAACCCACTTCCTTGTTGCTGAAACTCACATAGAACCAGATGCTGATCATTTACATTCCCATTGTTTCTATAGATAGAATTTCTGAGGTTAGGGTCATAAGAATTTTGTTTAAGAATTGATTTGCATCCTCATTGTTCCTACAGATATATTATCTAACATTAGAATATTAAGGCTTTTGTTTAAGAATTACTTAAGATGTTTTTCAGATCCCAAATTTCAGCAAAATAGTGACACCAGAAGAACCAAATCAGCATGAGAATACAGTTTATTTCCCTGTCTCATGACTTCACCCTGTACTCTTTGGCCAATCAATAACTTTATACTTTGACCCATTCCAAAACCCTTAAAAACACTAGCCCCATACTCTTCAGGGAGATGGAGTTGAGATTTCCTCTTGTCTCTTTGTTCAGCGGCTCTATGATTAAACTTCTTTTTCTGCTGCAACTTGGTGTCTCAGTGTATTGACTTGCTGCACATATCAGGCAACATATCTATTATGTTTGCAAGTTGGAAGAGGAGGGTAAAAATAAAGGAGGTTTGTGTATAACATGCATTCATTAGCTGGAAAAGCAGCAGAGCAGGGCAAAATATTAGCCCAGCATACATACACCTGCAAAGAGTTCTTTTCTACTGACTTAGTCAAACCTAACTCTTCTCAGGACTTATGTTTTGATAAGCTATGCAGGTTTTCCTTACTGTAACAACAGACTATATTTTAATCCTGATTATGGAACACACCTCTACCTTCTTTTTTTACTTTTGATTTTTATTCAATGTATTTTCTTCTGGCTTTATGTAAACATTTGAAACATGCCTATCCTAGATATAATAGCCCCTTTCTCCTGACAAAATAGTCCCCCCAAAACACCATTAAATAACTACAAAAAATTGATCAAATACAAAATATATAGTTTTTATATAAAGTATATTTGTCTTTATTTTTTCAGAAACATTATAGAGCTATGGTTTTTCATGCAATGTATTGTTCCCTAAAAGTACATCCTACAATCTGGAGAGTGCTATCAATAATTTTATGATCTATATAATGAAAGCCATGGAGATTAGCTTATTTAGACAAATTCTCTTAATAGCTTAGCTGGGTGAACTAACAAGAGTGTTATTCTCTATAATTACAGGGATAGGAAAAACAAAGAGGCATCAATTTATTTGCTGTTTCATTGAATATTCATATTTTGAAATAAACCAAAATACTTTAAGGTTTACACAACTCTAATATTAGACAACCTATAAAAAGTATTAAGAGTGAAGTAAGGCATATTAAGCTGACTTTTCTATTGAAATACAGTCACTTTAAGAGAAGTAACTCACAAATCTGCATAATTTTTCTTGAAAACTGAAACCCAACTTTTGAAAAAGTCAGCAAGATAAAGACTCTTATCTGAGTGACTATAAGACACATGATTCACACACACAGACACACACACACACCTTTGTCAGGCAAATGGAAATGCATTAATGTAGGTCTTTAAGTTATACTTTATATTGCTAGTCATCACCAATTTAGATGCCTAAGGCCATTTCATGTATTGAATTCTTTAAATAAATCCACTTTAAATAGTCATTTATGTTTGGGTCAAATCCCAAGCTGAAGTGTTCCTCTACACTCTCCTTTGAGAATGATGACTTTCATCTACTACAAACAGACTTGTTGGTGGCGTATACTGAGAATAAGAATATATTAAATTCAGAAATGTTTTTACTTCATGAGCTCTCTATTTCACGTTTTTTTTTTTTTTTTTGCTTTCTCATTCCAAAGTGAATCTTATGGCAATTTGTACATACAAATTAATAGAATACTGTGGTTCCTTAATAAATTATAGAATTTTGCTAAAGGAAGAAAATTATGTAAATATGGTCAACATAACTGAAATTATAGAACAAATATATTTCAGGAAGGGAAAACTCATCATCCAAAATACACAGTGGCTAAAGGGAATTATGACTTTCCAAAGAGACACATTTCAGTTAGCATATGAAATTTAAGTTGGTGATTCTTATCTAACACAGGAGAATTTTAATCCATATTCAAAAGTGAATTTCACTTGCAAACACCATTGTATATTCAACTCTTGCAAATTGTAACTGTCTTTTAAATAGTCAAAAATGTACTTCTTGAGAATTACCTGATGTAATATGCAACAATTGCCTTTATATTAGGTTTTAATTAGTTTAAGCATTTTCTTCAAAATTATCAGTTGTAAAGAAAAGCCCTCAGCAAAGATTAAACCTAAAAATGGTTGCATTCACATTTACTCAGAAATAAGGAAAAATAATTCATTTATGTTTTTCATTCATCTACATCCAGATGGTTTTCTTGACCTCATTTCCTATGTTGTCTCTAAAGCAATATATCTGAATATTTCCTGATGTTTTACTAAATTTTTACAACACAAAGCTTTCAGTGGTGAACAAAGATAGGCAATTATCTAAAATATATCATTGAATTTGCTTGCCAAAGTCATTTTTCAGAGGTGCTTTGTTGTTACAAATGATAGCCCATTGGAATACTATTCTTTTAATTAAAGAGCAGTCTGATTTCTGTGAGACTTCATGATAAGCTTAAGTTAAATAAGACCAGATTTCAAAACTTCACAGCTAAACTGGCAGAAAATATCTAAAACTCTAGAAGATTAAAAATTGTGCCCAGGGTTAAGGGACCAGTTTTTTGGACCCTAAAATTTATACAATTTGTGAGAGGTGGAGTTCTAAGAAAATACAATATAACAAATACATAATTAGGCCAACGAAGGGGTCAATGAGGGTCCTTAAAACTATATTCTTTAGCTTTATGGTAAACTTACTCTGACCGCCCATTAAAAACATACCTAATATGTTTGTTTTGAAACAGGTAAAATCACCAAATCTATTAATATATGAAATCTTCTATCATATTTCAAAAGATAGAAAATTAAGAATTACAACCATTTCTAAGATGAAAAATATGCTAAGTGCTGATAGAGGCCATGTTGAAAAATAAAACTTTATTACAAACCAAAAATCTCCAACTATCATCTCCTCCTTTCAAATCCTTAGGTAAGGGAAGACCAAATAGCAATTTTTCATTTTTGTTGTCATTTTGTTTTAAATCTAGCCAAGGAAATTAAAATCCACTGGTCCTTTCAAGTGTCAGTAAGTCTATAATCGTACAGTAAAATCTGAGGTAGGCTGGGTGTGGTGGCTCACGCCTGTAATCCCAGCATTTTGGGAGGCCGAGGTGGGTGGATCACAAGGTCAAGAGTTTAAGACCAGCCTGGCCAATATGGTGAAACCCTGTCTGTACTAAAAAATACAAAAATTAGCCAGGCATGGTGGCATGCACCTGTAGCCCCAGCTACTCAGGAGGCTGAGGCAGGAGAATCACCTGACCCGGGAAGCAGAGGTTGCAGTGAGCCAAGATCGCACCACTGCACTCCAGCCTGTGCGACAAAGTGAGACTCTGTCAAAAAAAAAAAAAAAAATCTGAGGTTACACAAATTTTGAAATTGTAAAGAAAAAAAGGACTTGTCCTGGAGCTAATTAAACTTAGAGTCAAATTATGATTCTGCTTTTTATTACCTCTATTACCTGGGATATAATTTAATCTTTTTTGAATTCAGTTGTCTCATCTGTAGAAGGTGGAACCATAACCCCTACTTGAAAGTAGTGTTGTAAAAATTATAGATAATGTATGTACAATTTTCGACATGAGATTATGTAAATAGTAGTTTCTAACATGATAACTGCCTGTTGTAGTATCCTTTAACACTAACTGCCTATAGATAGTTTTACTTCAACTCTATATTTATGCACAAATGATCAAAGCAACTTCAAACACTACCTATGACTTGCTCTCATGAGTGTTTTAAGAATTTGGATACATTGTGTGTGGCTATGATTTTGTCCATGATTCAGATCAGTTTGGCTAAATGGGTTAATCTAAAAATCACATTCAAGTGAAAGTTAAAGTTGTCCTTACATTCTTTCATTTTCTAGAAGAAACCAGAGAGACTCGTGACTTCTGCTTAAGATACAGAAGGCTTAAAAAACATTACTTCTATTGTTACAACAACAGTAAATTCACCACTTTTCTGGTACCCATTATAGAGTTCAGGTCAGCACAAAAACTAATCTGAAAATCTAAGGAGATAAATCCAAAGAGAAGAATGATAAGAGCACTTGCTTACTATAGAGAGAATCTACCTGAAGCCAAACAATATGAAGAGAAGAATTCAGGTACAATTAGTAACCCATTCCTAAAGTCCAGATGTGAGCAGGAATGAGAATATAGAATTTCTGGAAGCCAAGGATACTAGGTGAATTCACACCAACACAAGTACTCTCCTCCAAAGACCTAAATGATGCTCACAAGAAACACTGGATAGGGATCACTCATAGTTTGAAAAAGCTTCCCCCATAGTGTAAGTGCTCAGAAGGAAAACAGCAAAGTAGAAAAGGCACAAAGTTCTGCCTGAACTCTTCTCACCCATCTCCCCAACGGAAAACTTAGGGCAAGATCGTGTTTAGTAGCTGGGGTTAGGGTAGCAAAATCTTGTTGCCTTCAGGGTACTGATGAATAACCATTGCAGATGAGGAAAGGATATTAAAAAATTAATTCCCTATTTCTGGGGCTATGTCATTGGGCCATACATCAGATATCTCAACAGGCTGAGAGCCATGAACAGAGTTTTACCCATGTATTTATTGACAGCAAGCCAGTGATAAGCACTGTTGCTACAGATTATAAATTAACTAAAATGGGAAACAAAGGGATGGGCTCTGGCTAGTAATCTGCAGCAGGAACATGTCCTTAAGGCACAGATCGCTCATGCTATTGTTTGTGGTTCAGGAACACCTTAAGCAGTTTTCCTCCCTGGGTGGCCCAGGTGTTCCTTGCCCTCATTCTGGTAAACCAAAAACCTTCAGCATGGGCATCATAGCCATCATGAGCATGTCACAGTGCTGCAGAGATTTTGTTTATGGCCAGATTTGGGGGCCTGTTTATGGCCAGATGTGGGGGCCTGTTCCTAACATGTCCCCTTTTTGTTTTTGCAAGACGATAAAAGCAAAGGCGGCTTTATCACTGTGAACTACTCACAGGAGTTGGGATCCGCATCTGCAGACTATACAAAGACAAACAACACAGATTAATAGCCAACCATCATAGAAATCATAAAGGCTCCAAGTGTTTTTATCCATTTTAATGGGTTGATAGCTGCTAATCCATCTGCAGCTCCTTCAAGCACTCCAGTTCCTGGCATTAAGGTCAGGTGTCCCTGGGATACTTTAAATATTTGTTCTTTTAATTTTGCAAAATCCAAAGACAACTTTGTAGAGTGTCCTTCTAGATACTTTTTTATTATTTCCCAAATTTTGATCTTATAGTTTCCACAAATCCTTATGTTTAGCTCCTAGAGTGGGCCATATCATTTGAGGATGAGGTGCCACTACACCGCCATGTTTCCAGATAATAGGAACTCTTGCCATACTTCTTACCGTTTCTACCATCTGACCATTTTGTTCAGACCAGCTGAACATAGTGTGGCCATGGCACGCAGAAAGAGAGGTTCAATTCAAGCTAAACATCCCCTTAGAGGACCAATCAATAACGATTCCATAGGAATCATTGTGCAGCACCTCTGCCTGTTCTGCAATGCAATCTTCTCAAACAAGTACGTTCATTTATTCTGACCAGGTCCAATCCTGTTTACAAATAGGTTTTTGAGGGCGGTATGTCTCAATTATAGGAGGAGATTCATTATGGTAAATACTGAGACCAGAAAGCACATGCAACTGTGTCATAAAGTGATTACATCCAAGCATTATTGCCAGGCAAGATTGATAGCAAGGGGGTAGGCAACTAGAGGCCTTTCCCAAACAGATAGGCGGATGTTCATACCCTAAAGAAATATTCATAACAGTTCCTTCCTCATGTGGGTGAGATGGGCCTCTATCATCTGTAGGACCTAGCATCCAAGAGCTATCATTAGTGTATACCTCCACTGGGGTGTCTAGCCAAGTTACAAGCCGTAGAAGTGGTGTAAAAGGTAAATATGCCCAATAAGTATAATTATTCTCTGTGTCAGCCCTTGCTAAAGGAATACTCTTGGCAATGGTGATCACCGCTATCATAGCTATCATTAAATTACTCACTGTGACTGGTTGTCCTGCTTTCCTCAGGTTTTCTTCCGCCATCTGTGACAGCTTCGTGATCTGTCCACAGGTAGGTGGCTGTGTTCGACGGGTGTTGCTCGTGACAGTTGGGGTCCTCCTCAGCATCAGTCTTGACATGGCTGCAACTGGGGGATCCTCAGGTTCCTCCCAGAATCTCTTCTTCGGCATCTGGCTCATGATAAGGATTCAGATGTCTCAACGGCACCCAAATTGGCTGCTGATAAGGTCCTGGAGAAACACAAGCATAACCTCTACCCCAAGTTATTATTTTACCTGCTTCCCAACTTTTTGTTATCGGATCTCTCCACCAAACCAGTTGTTCTGCTTCTTTCTTTGCATCTGGTTTCTGTAGATGCTGTTCAGCTGCTGATAGCATCTGGCCTTTAGTCAGGCTCAAAAAATTTAAAGTCAATAATGCTAGATTCAATCGCATATGTGGTGTGCCTTAGTCCCTGTCTCCCCGCTTTTGCTTTTGCAACTGCTGCTCCAGGGAGAGATTCATTCTTTCCACTATGGCTTGTCCTTGAGAATTATATGGGATATCAGTAATGTGTTTAATATTCCATATAGAGAAAAACATAGAGAGAGCTTGGCTAGTATAGCCTGGGGCATTGTCCATTTTAAGAGAAGCTGGAATGCCCATCACCGAGAAACACTGCAAAAGGTGACATTTAACACAGGCAGAAGACTCTCATGATTGGCATGTAGCCCAGACAAAGTGAGAAAAGGTGTCCACACATACATGTACATAAACTAGTCTCCCAAATGAGGGAACATGGGTGACACCCATTTGCCAAAGAGAATTAGGTTCCAATCCTTGAGGATTAACTCCTCCTCTAAAAGATGAGGAATGCACCATTTGGCAAGTTGGGCATTGCTGGATAATAGCTTCAGCTTCTTTTCAGGTAATGCTGTATTTGCGTTTGAGACCAGAGGCATTAGCATGGGCTAAATTGTCAAAGTGTCTGGCATTAGATATTGCAGTAGCAACTAGGCCATCAGCCATTTGATTCCCTGCAGTCAAAGGTCCTGGAAGAGGGGTATGAGCCCTAATGTGAGTGATGTAAAAAGGGTGCATTCTATTCCTAACTGCTGTTTGCAATTGGGTAAATAAAGTCATCAGTTGTTCATCTGTATGAAATCATAACTGAGTATTTTCAATTAATTGTGTGAAATGAACCACATATGAAGAATCAGAAATCACATTAATAGGCATATCAAAAGCAGTCAATACCTCAATTACAGCTACAAGCTCCGCTTTTTGAGCTGAAGTATAGGGCATCTGGAAAACTTTACCTTTTGAGCCAGAATAAGAAGTTTTACCATTACTAGACCCATCTGTGAAGACATTTTCAGCACCTTCAATTGGTTTAAATTTAGTTATTTTAGGGAGAATCCAATTAGTTAATTTCAAAAACTGAAACAGTTTCATTTTAGGAAATGGTTATCGAGAATACCCACAAAGTCAAATAAATGGGTTTGCCAAGTAAGACTATTTATAAAGGCTTGCGGTATTTTTGCCTTCGTGAGGACAATAGTTTTTCCAGGATCACATCCATGTAATTTAACAATCCAAGTTTTCCCATTTCCTATCATAGTAGCAATTTGATCCAAATAAGAAGTCAAAGTCTGTGAATTAGTATGTGGAAGAAAAAGCCACTCTACAAGATCTTGCTCTCGAACAACAACACCAGTAGGTGAATGCTGGGTTGAAAAAAAGAGCAAATCTAGAGTCTTCTCTGGATCTATTCTATTTATTTGAGCATTATGCACTTGTTTCTCAATTAGCTGTAACTCTGCCTCAGCCTCCTTTGTTAATTGCTGAGGGCTAGTGAGACTAGGATCTCCTCTAAGGATAGAAAACAGACTACTCATGGCATAAGTAGGAATGCCTAGAGCAGGTCGTATCCAATTGATGTCCCATAGTAATTTTTGAAAGTCATTTAATGTTTTCAATTGATCCCTACGAATGGTTACTTTCTGTGGCACCATTGTAGTGTCATTTACTAACATTCCTAAGTAGGAGTAAGGAGTAGTAGTCTGAATTTTGTCAGGAGCTATAATTAAACCAGTGTGAAAAATCAAATTTTGCAAGTGATCATAACATTGGAATAATATTTCTTGAGTGGGGGCAGCACAAAGTATATCCTCCATATAATGAATAACATAACACTGTGAAAATTTTTTATGGGTAGATTCAACTGCTTGCCCTATATAAGTCTGGCAAATTGTTGAACTGTTTAACTTGCCTTGTGGCAACACTTTCCAATGAAAATGCTTAGCAGGCTGCAGGTTGTTTACCGCAGGAATTGTAAACGCAAACTGTTCACAGTCTTGTTCAGCTAAGGGGATAGTAAAGAAACAGTCTTTTAAATCTATGACTATTAAAGGCCAATTTTTTGGAATCATAGCAGGAGAAGCCAATCCTGGCTGTAATGCCCCCATGGGTTGTATAACTGAATTAATGGCTCTAAGATCTGTCAACATTCCCCATTTACCTGATTTTTTTCTTAATAACAAAGACTGGAGAATTCCAGGGGGAATATGTTGGAACTATGTGTCCTTTTTCTAATTGTTCAGTAAATAAGTCCTCTAAAGCCTCCAGTTTCTCTTAAGTTAGTGGCTATTGTTCTATCCAAATTGGCTTATCTGTTAACCATTTTAAAGGTATAGGTTCTGGAGGCTTAACAACTGCCGCCATCAAAAATGATACCCTAAACCTTGGCAGGAACTTTGTCTTTCCACTTGAAGCGGTTCCTTCAAACCTTGCAAATTTTTTCCTAGTCTCATACCAAGGACATACCCCATTTCATCAATCATATGTTGACTTTGAGGGCTGTATAATTGCTCTGGAATTAGAACTTGTGCTCTCCATTGTTGTAATAAATCTCTCCCCCATAAATTTATAGGTACAGAAGCTACAATTGGTTGAATGGTCCCAGGTTGTCCATCAGGCCCTTCACAATACAAAATATAACTACTTTAATATACTTCAGGGGCTTTACTAACTCCAACTATGTTAAATTGAGCAGGTTGAATTGACCATGCGGAAGGCCAATGATGTAGAGAAATGATTGAAATGTTCACTCCTGTATCTAACAAACTTTTACATTTCTTTCCCTGAATAGTTGTTTCACAGGCAGGATGTTTTTCAATAATTTGATTCACCCAATAAGCTGCTTTGCCTTATTTGTGCTTCCAAATCCTCCTGTTCGTTTAATTTCACTTTTCCCCATTTCCACATACAACACAATCAGGAGCTGTGCTATACACTCTCCTGGCTCTGCTTTCCAGGGAACAGAAGTAGATATAACAACTTGAATTTCCCCATTGTAATCTGAATCAATAACTCCTGTATGTACTTGCACTCCTTTTAAATTTAAACTAGACCTACCTAGAAGTAATCCTACTGTCCCCGCTGGCAAGGGTCTATAGACTCCTGTTGGCACTTTTTGTAGGGGTTCCCCAGGCAGAAGGCTAACATCTTTTGTGCAGCATAAATCTACTGTGGCACTACCAGCTGTGGTGGGGGGCAGGCCTGGGACGGGCCCCTCATGGTGTTTCCCGAAATTGGGGTCCCATCTTTATTAAACTTAGAGTGACACTGATTAGCCCAGTGTTTTCCTTTCTTGCATTTTGGACATATTCCAGACTCAGCAGTTTTCTTTTTCCCCCCAACTGGCAGCCTGACTCGCTGATTTTTTTTACAGTCTTTTTTAGTGTGACCATGCTTCCCACAGTTAAAACAAGCTCCAGGAAATGGAGTATATCCTCTACCCACTTTCAGTCCTGCTATGGCTTGTGCCAACAAAGTAGCATTATGCAGATTACCTCCAATACCATCACAGGCCTTGATATAATCAACTAAATGCACTTTCCCCCTAATAGGTGGCAGAGCAACCTGGCACTTGGGATTAGCATTGTCAAAAGCTAGTAACCGCAACACTATATCCCGAGCAGCCAAATCTGCAATCACCTTTTTAAGAGACTCCTATATCTGAGCTGTAAAATCTGCATACGGTTCTTTTGGTCCCTGCTTTACAGCACTAAAGGAAGGGTATTGCTCTCCTCCTGAAGCGATTTTTTCCTAAGCTCTAATGCACACTCCTCTAAGCTCTTCTATGGCATCATCCTGCATGACCACTTTTGCATCTAAACCAGCCCAGTCACCAACCCCCAAAAGTTGGTCTGCAGTTATATTAATTTGAGGTTGGGCCTGGGCATTGCAAGCAGCCTGAATGGAAGCTTCATCTGCCCACCAAGTTTTAAATTTTAATAACTGAGCAGGAGTCAGGCAAGCTTGAGTAAGAGTGTCCCAGTCAATAGGAATCATCTGACTGCAAACAGCAATATTCTTTAACAGTCCCATTACAAAAGGACTGTTGGTCCATATTGATTAATAGCTTGTTTAAATTCTTTGAGTAATTTAAAAGGAAAAGGCTCAAATGTAGCTATATTATTTCCCTGTTGATCTGGGGGGTGTATCCTAACAGGGAACTGCTATGCCTCTATATCACCCTCTCATCTAGCTTGCTGAATTCCTGCCCGAATAGAATTGAGAGTGGTCGCTCTAGGCGCTGCCCAAACAGTCACTGGGGCCGCTATTTTTCAGCCAGTGTTCTCTGGAAAAGAAAGATCTGGAGGGTTAGCCACTCTTTTTCTTCAAAATAATGACAGAGTGCAGAAGGGTAGGGACAAACCTCTCCCTCCTTTGCCACTTTAGCTTTAGCTGGCAAACAAACCTGCTCTGTCACCTCTTCTGTTACTTCGTTATACTCTCCTTCCTCCTCATCATCAGTGTGAAAAGGTTCCAAGGTGGAACCAACCAGAGCCCACACTTGTCCCACTATTACCCTGATGTTTCCAAGCTCCCCTTCTTACTCACCACAGGGATTGCTTAAGAGTACTCGGGTGTCCTCCAGCATAGTTCCACGTTCTCCAACCATTGCTCCGGCGACCCTTTGACCCGGGTTCAAGCCCCATGTATGGGCACCACTTGCCAAGACCAGCTCGATCAGGGAGACCCTAACCCAGCGGCGCTAGAGGAATTAAAGACACACACACAGAAATATAGAGTGCGGAGTGGGAATCAGGGGGCTGACAGCCTTCAGAGCTGAGAGCCACAAACAGAGTTTTACCCACATATTTATCGACAGGAAGCCGCCAGTGATAAGCATTGTTCCTGTAGATTATAATTTAACTAAAATGGGAAACTAAGGGATGGGCTCTGGCTAGTAATCCGCCACAGGAACATGTCCGTAAGGCACAGATCACTCATGCTATTGTTTGTGGTTCAGGAACACCTTAAGCAGTTTTCTGCCCTGGGTGGGCCAGGTGTTCCTTGCCCTCATTCTGGTAAACCAACAACCTTCAGGATGGGCATCATAGCCATCATGAGCATGTCACAGTGCTGCAGAGATTATTTTTTATGGCCAGATTTGGGGACCTGTTTATGGCCAGATTTAGGGGCCTGTTCCCAACAAAAAAGGAAAAGTCTGAGGAATCATGAGAACTGATTCTTAGACTTATTTTTAATCTACAGTAAAGACAATTCTGTGTTGTAAAAAGGATACATCTATAGACTAATGAAAATGAATGATGAGTTCAGAAATAGACCATTTTTCTTGCAATTCTATGTTTAATTGATTATCAATAAACACGTGAAGAAATTCAGTGAAAGGGATTGTCTTTTCAACAAATGGTACTAAAAACAAATTGAATACCCATAGGAGAAACATAAATAACTTTCATTTATGCATATGTAAAAAGAAAATAAAATTTCAGAATTTTTCAAATTCATTATGCCAAGAGAAAAAGTTAAGCCTTGAAAACTGATTCACATAACATGGCTGTTTTCCTTTGGTGCATGCCTGTTGCTTCTTGACCTTTGTGTTGAGATGTTATGCACTATCCAGGCTCCCTATTCTTTATTCAAACCTAGGCCAAATGATAGAGATAGTTGGCCAGGCTGGTGTCGAACTCCTTCAAGTGATCGCCCAAGCCACCCCGCTTGGCCTTGGCAGTTCTTTATAATACTAAATATGCCCTCATCATATGACCCAGAAATCTTACTCCCTGGTATCTACCCAAGTGAAATGAAAACTTATTTTCACATAAAAACCTATATATAATGGATGGGCTCAAGGAATAGTCAACAGGAAACCGGTTACATTAAGCAGCCAGGTCCAGGAGTCCTCATAATTCCAACAGGCCTGAGATCCATCTCTGCTACCCAGAGACACCCAGTGTCCTAGCCTGGGAATGTCCTTCCACCTCCGAAAGCAGTACCAGCAGGAACCAGTGGGAGCCGCAGTGGCAACAGGTAAACCAAGCAGAACAAAGTAACCAGGCAATTTAAATTTGGTAATACAGCCCATAAAAGTAGGCCAGAATGTGCATGCTACACCTAAACAGGCTGAGTGCCTGCCAAAATAAAGAATTTATATAAGAACCCAAATTATTGTCAGTATCATCAACATTATTGTCAACAATACTGTTTGTGGTATTATACTGTAGCTTCATAAAATGTTACAATTAGGGGACACTAGGTAAATTGTACACATGATCTCTCTGTATTATTTCTTACAAATGCATGTGAATCTAAATTTATCTCAATTAAAATGGAAAACAAATACCCTATACATTAATGTATATATAGAGACTTGGTTTGTAATTGTTCCAAACTGGAGCAAACCTAAACGTTTCTCCACTGTAGAATGGATTAAAATAATGTGGTACATCTATACAATGAAAAACCAATTAGCAATAAAAAGAAAAAAATACTAATACATGCAACAGCATTTTAAAATCTCAAATCTATTATGCTGAGTGAAAGAAGCCAGACCCAAGAAGCTATGTATATAATTCCAGTTATATAACATCCTTTCGGAAGTAAAACTATAGGTCAATAAAAACCAAAGCTGAGGATGGGGACAGTGGTTGATTATTAGAGGTACAGTAAAATTTGGTGGAATAGGAATGGAACTTTTGTGATATTTCATTCTATATTTTGATTGTGGTTCCAGTTACATACATTTATACTTTTTCAACACTTTTATAATTACAAAATAAAAATCGTGGATTTTTCTATATAAATTTTACCTTAAATAAAATGAAAATAGAAAAGAGGTTATATTATTTTGCTTGCTGAATACTTAAGTCCTATTATTATCACAAAAAGTAGATTATCTTTCAGCTTTTTGATAGCACATAAAAACATTGAAACTGCAGTTCTAGCATTCTTTAATATCATTCACAACCTTGCCATTCCAGAATGTTACATTTTTTCATTTTTCCATGTACGGCCTATATATGTTGTAATTCTATGACTGAATTCAACACATACTGCTTTTCCACCTACAAGTAAGTATTTTTAATAGAAACATATTCATAATGACCATTTTCCATATGTACATTAATCTAGGTAGTTAAGATATAATTGACTTAGCCTTTCCTCATTGGTGGACATTTGGGCTATATTAATTTTATTAGCATTATAAAGAAGACTCCATTGAATATCTTTATACACAGCCAAATTTTCTTTTTTTCCTCTTGGGGTAAATTTCAATATGCAGCATTATAGCAAAGGAGATAAATACTTTATTTTCCTTCATAAATACTATTCATGTTTTTCCAGAAAGATTTTTGCTTATGTTTCTGCTCACAATTGAAGCTTTAACAATTTTATTATATCTTATACTTACTGGTAGATAAAAATGGTATATATAATATTTTTAATTAATATATGAGTAATAGAGTATTTTGTTTTAATTTCCATTTTTCTTGCATATTACTGATTACTTTATTTCAAAAGGGGGCTTCCAATTTTATATCCATTTGAAGCATGGTCTATCCATGCCCTTTGTACATAGACAACTAAATAAAATGAAACTAGGGACCAAGAGTTGTTCATAAGCAGCTAACATACTGGCTGCCATAGTGCTATGTACTCAAATATTTGTAGGAAGGAAGGAAGGAAGGAAGGAAAGGAAGAGAGGGAAGAAGGGATGGAAAAAGCTAATTTCTCATTGGAAAAGCAGTTATAAACAAGGAGTAATAATTTTAAGAGGCAGATCTGAAAGAAGGCTTTCTGAGATAATGCTTAACTTTTGCCCTTCTTATTTCATTTTGGATCCCCTTGGTTTTACTCCCAAGGTACCTGCAACTACATTGCTTAATTCCTTTGCTTCAGAAGGACATTACAAAGAGAAGCACAGATTCAAAATAAATGACAGACCTCAGTAAATTTACATTATAACAGTCAAATATATACATAAAGGGTTTCTGCAACCAACAAAATCAATAAAATGAGCAGAGAAGTTTAAGCTGAAGATTTAAAAAGAAATACTCATGTTAAAATATATTGCTGATACAGATAGAGGAATGAAGTCACATTGAATAGGTCGCCATAGTCACAAAGCTTCCATAGCTTGTCATATTTTGCTGATTTTTGTTGCAGGTATTAAAATGTGTGTCATATTTTTCTCATTTTAAATTTTACCTATTCATCTTTAAAATGTACTTTTATTTCCAAGGTGAGGATGAAGCATCACCTGCAATAGGAATACTATATTTCTATACAGGAAAAAGTGACAACCCTGAAGTATTTGGCTTTGGGGGCTTTGACCATTTATTTTGCAGAGTAAAAAATTCTAAAATAGGGAAGGTTTGCTACCGTAGACCCAAGCTGATGAGCTTTATTTTGTTCGGTTTTGTTTAATTTCCCCTCTCCTATCATTATAATATATAAGATACCAGCCTTATTAAAATGAAGAATTCTTGTTTGCCAAGTGAAACGGCAAAAGTAACAAGTACTTATCTAGCAGAATAGTGGTAATAGTGAGAAATCCATCTTTGACAAGGAGTAGCAAAATCACAGATTGGTGGTTCTACGTGAGAATTTTACTATGCAAAATCTTCTCCCTTCACCCTACCCCAGAAAGAGTAGCTCATGGGATATTGGTAGCCCATCTGGAGTGCTCAGAGCCAATTCTGCTAATGCCAGATAATAGCGTGTGCATCAGAGCAAAGCTGGAATAATCCTGGCAAGTAGAGAAGTGGTAATTTGTGACTGACATTGAAGGTTTTCAGAGGATCTAGAATCAAACAACATATTTCTTTTTACTAGGAGTGACAGCACCTTCCATTGTCACACTAAATTCCCTTGTGCTATAGCTTAGTAAAATGAAAGCAAACATTATTTGGAACATTAGCTGTAAGTCATGCAACATTCGGCAGCTCCAATTAGCATTTGAATAATAAATTGAAATGAGCCCAACAAATATGTCTGAAGCAGACTACTCGTGGAAAATATATACTTAAGTATATTACTATCCAAGGTGGCAAGGGGTACAAAATGAATGTTGGAGTTGGACATAACACTGCCCACCTTTTCATTAATCAATATTTATGAAAACTTACATATGGTTTACGATGTTCATTTCCTGAACTGAATCACACAACAGGAACTTACCAGATAAAACAGTTAATATTTGCAATGCATTCTACTGTTATAATAATTGGTAGAATGGCTTAAACTAGCAAACCCTGGAATCCTAGGAATTTCCAGAATTACGTATTTTCCAAAGTCTACATTAAAGACAAACAGGAAAATTTGGGATTGTAAGAAAGAAATCACAATAGAGAAAAAATCTTACTCAGATTAAAGGCAATGTAATTAAACTCCATGGGATCAGTGGAATTACCATAAAAACAATTATTTGGAAGGAAAACATGGGGAAAGAAACCAGGCAATTTTTTAACATAGTATTGGTGTTCAGGGAAGATTTTGTTTATACATTCATTCATACTTTCAATTATCAAAACATTCATTGAGTATCTACTGCTTCTGACCTTTTAGTAAAATCTTCAGATAAAAAAAGATAGATATAAAATATGTATTTTTAAAGAATCTCACCAATCAGTGGGAGAAGATGACACTTAGACAGATTGTGTAAAACGATGTGAAAATTCTGTAATGGAATTATGTACAAGGGAAACATTTATAACGCTTTAAGAGGGGCACTAAAATTTTCTGATAGGCTATGATGTCTAAAATAAATCTTAAAGGATAAATAAATATTATAAATTTGATCAGTTTGTGATCAGCATAAGAAAAAAATCTACAATGTAATTTAAAATATTTATCACCATGTTACTGAGAGTGAGACACACATCTAATATTTATGATAAGAGGTGTTAAGACCACAAACAAACTTATTTCCTTTTCCTTTTGCTGACTTCAAGACCTGATAACTTTTATTTGTCATTTATCTACATAATAACTTTCCTTTATTCATTTACTGCCAGTTGCTTTAGTTAAAACACCTGAATAAGCAAGTCTGATTCTTGACCTTGTCCTAGGTGAGAGTGTCCCAGATAAACAAACCTGTGGTGGAAAAGGTAAAGGGTGTAGGTTTCTTCTGATCTGGCATATTACAACAAAGCTGGGGCTTTTTGGCAAAAAGCCTTAAAAGAAGTTATTGAGGAAACCCTGAGATTTAAAAAGACACAGTAAGAATCTTCTGGACAAAAGCTACAGGTGATTTTCATACTTTACCTATCTTATGAAGGTGAATTGTTGCATTTTGGGATTGAGAGATGTATAGACATGGGAGTGAACTTGGAAAATTCCTACAATTTGGGAGTTCATAAAATATTTGAGAATGCCTCTTTCTCAGAATTAAGTTTGGTCTAGAGTATCATCTGAAATGCAAATTATGTTAAATTGCCAAAAATTTAACATAACAGGACAAAGTACCTGTCCGCTATATCCTCAGATTACATGACTCTAGAAGACTGAAAGTCATACAAAGCCTTCAGATATTGGAGGAGAAAATATATCCCTGTTATCTGAACAAAATATACCCACTTTTAGAAAATTTCTCTTCATATTGGCATCTGGAGACTCTTTCTTACACTCACCCCAGTTAATATGAAAATATGTGCCTTCCAAGTTGTGACGGATGTCTGCAAGCCCAGAACAAGTGTGTGGTGCTTCTCAGAAGTTTCAAAAATAATTCTGAAGTATGCTTAAGTGAATGCTAGACATGCACACACTCATGTGTACACAAACACACACATACACACACATCCACACACACCAGATTCCCATAAATTCCACATCCCAGAGTAATAACTATCAATAGTTAAGTACAATTCTTTTTCAGAATATTGTCTACTTCATACAGACGTATACATTTTTAAAATAGACTTTCATTTTAGAACAGATTTATGTTCACAGCAAAATTTAGAGGAACATACAGACTTCCCATATAACCCCATCCCAAGGGAATAGCCTATGCCACAATCAACATCCCACACCAGAGTGATACATTTATTATGAGCTGTGAAACTGCACTGATATATTATTATCACCCAAAATTCATAGTTTACATTATGTTCACTCTTAATGCTCTACATTCAATGGGTTTTTGGATAAATATATAATGACAATTCCACCATTGCAGCAGACAGACAATTTGAACAGATTTTTCATATTTTACTTAGTTATTTGAAACCTCCTTTTTCACTAAACAGCTTTCTGTCAGGGTCCAGGTAGAGCTACCTTACTTTTTCATAATGTCATAGAATCACATGGACACATGTATTTTAGTTAGAAATATGTTATTGATAGACATTTAGTTTTCTATTTTCCTTTTTATCACAAACAAGGCTGAAATTACATCCTTTTTCATAAATATTGTCATGTCTTGTATATGCATATGTTTTGGACATTATATGCATAATGTCTAGATAGTATAGAGGGAAAGATCATTGTCTTCAGAATCATAAAAAAAGTTTTGTTCAACTACAGTTACATCATTTGCAATTTTAAAAACTTTGACAAAGTGAAACCATAATTTCATCATCAATAAAATAATCTCTATGGAATTGTTAAGATGAAATAATATAAAATACATAACATTTCTCTTAGGAACTAAAACTTACCTACTTTTTTTTTTTTTTTTTTTTTGAGACGGAGTCTCTCTCTGTCGCC